>NC_000014.9:77338985-77490500 GCF_000001405.40 Homo sapiens
TACTATTTGTTTGTGCTCTAGAGAACAGGGTGAGGATCAAAGCAAACGGTTTTCATTTCATTGTTTGGGTCTATAAATTTGGACTGGGAGGGGCTGAGGAAATGACTGTCTCTTAGAATTTGCTGGGCTGTGGGTTCTCAGTAATTACCTGTGCTTCAGTAAGTAGTATCTTGCCCCTAAAGTTCAATTATTTCAGAAATGTAACATGAAAATAGTGAATTAGACAGTGAAAATATCTTCTTTTAGCTATTTTGTGCTAATGGAACACAGAAACCCTGACAGTTGGTGAAAAACCAGTATGAATGAAATGTAACCATGCCCAGGACTTCAAAAGTGACCAGACCCTAAGAGGCACACAGAGGTGAGGGGAACAAGTCCCTTAGGCTTCCCTGATGCAACAGAACTAGGATTCCAAAGAAAATAAGCAGAGAATCTCATGGTGAAAATAAATAATAACAAGTGTTATCCTTGGGAGCTTGCTGTGTATGGCCTGACTGTTTCAATTTGAGAGAAAGGCAGAAGTTAATAATAAACAGGAAAAATAAGCAAGGCTTTAGCTGACTAGAAAACAGCTCAGTAGAAAATTATTTTACAAAGATTATATTCAGTTAGCTAAGGCATGATTCAACTTCAATGATGCAAGAGCGGTCACTCAGCTATCCAATGGGATGACACACAGCAAATCAGCTCTTCACTGCCTCAACAGACAGTCACTAAAATAATTTCTTTAAAGGTATATAAATGTTGGCCAGTGTAATCCTCTACAAAACACATTTGCAAATATAAAATAATGGAGGTATGATGCTGCTCAGAGAATGGGAATGCTCTGGCAGTCCCCAACATCCTATCCCACTTGGGGCTTTGCTCCGAGGGGAAGAGCAGGTGCAGGATATATTGCCCTTTGATGTGATGTAGATGCTACTAGGGACCCACTGGGAAGAGTCCCGTTCCTTGAGTTATGCTACTGTAGGGATAGACCCTTGGTGTGAGGAATCTAACAATGAGTCAAAGGAAACATCACAAAGAAGGTGACACCTCAGAGGAGACAAAGGACTCTGAAATCCTGGAATCACGGGATATCTCTGATTGGTTAGGGAATTCCTCTGCACTCAATCTCCAGCAAATGGGCAGATTCCCTCACAACTTAGAATTTTTCATGGGGAGTGCTGGACTGTACCCCAAACATGGAGTAAGGTGGCATCATCCATCTCTGAAGGGCCATACTCCTCGCAAAGCCGTCACAGGACTGACCTACAGAAATAAAACATCATCGCTTCCCAAATTCTCCTAAAAATATCATCTTTAACTCCATAAAAGAGGGGGCTTCAGTGGCTCAGAACAGATGGGAAGCCTTCTGAGAAACAGATGGAAACTGTTTCAAAGGCAAAATGAAATGTGCTAAAAAAATAAATACAGTAATAAATAAATCTAATTATTCTTCAGAATTCGTAGGCAGTAACAGACATAACACGAGGAGTAAGAGACAGGGAGGTACAAACACAGAGACTGCTGAGGTCCCATCTCACCTCCGTCTCCTCCTCCGCCTGGGGGCCCAGCAGCTGGTGCTCTGGTGACCACTGGCTGCAGCACTACCTGCACTCTGTGGCACTCCTGAGCCTCAGGGGTGACACAGTAGGAAATGCTGTCACCAGGGAAATGCAAGCTTTGGTCAGGTAAAGAACAAATACAATCAGCAGCAATAGTGAAGCTTCATTATCACCTAAACTAAGGGACTTTGAACACCAAAAGCTTTAAGCCCTCAATGCAAGAAAGCTAAATGCAGAAACTTTGGAAACCTGATTGGGTTTCACTGCATTTGATTCCAAAGCAACATTTCTAAACAGCACTCCTACTCTAAAGACAAAAAAAAGCGGTGGGGACTCTGGAGTGTTTTTTGTTTTTCATCTTCTCTGTCAGATGATACCATTCCTTCTTTGATTATACCAAAAAAAAAAAAAAAAGTAACACGACTTTCAAATATGTGGGTTCTGACATCAATTCAGTACCTAATTTCCACTCTCTCCACTTTGACTGCCAGTGCCCATAGTAAGGGAAACCAGCTCTTGGAATAGGAAATAATGGGGGCAGTTTTTCTTCCCACAAGATCTTAGGTTACATTGATCATCACTTGAGATTGCATGAATGTTCTTGCTGTAATGGCAAAAACATAGACTTAGGAAAGAGAAAGGAGGGGGTGTCTACCATCAGGAATAGTAATAGCCCTCCAAAGGCAGTGTGGTCTCCCAGCTATGCAGAGACCAAGAATAACCAGCAGGCAGGAATATGGCAGTGGTGACAGGCTGGATAGAGCTTTCTCCAACCAAAAGATGGGGCTCCTTCATGGGCAATGTGCTTTTCCCTCTTCTGGCACCTCAACAACTGAAGAGAGTGGGTGCCACTAAATGCACTGGCAATAAGGGCTGTGGGAGAGGAGAGGGCAGCAATCTGAATGATAAACCTGTGCCAAGATGAATCTATTTTTAAAAAACATCGCCCTGCTTCCTTTTAGGCTTGTGCCCCATAGGTGCCTTCAAGAGGGAATTTGCTGGAGTCTGAAGCAAGAAGGGTATGAGTCAGGGACTACAGAACAGGGGCACTACACCACCACCTGCAGAAGCCAAGAAGGGGAAAAAGCTACGTGGGCCAACAGTCAGGCATGCCAGACAGGGTGTGAGGCTCAGCAGCCCCCCATGAACCTTTGGCTCTTGCCTATCCCAAACAAGAGGCACCAGCTGGCAGCCTGCTTCAGCCAGCAAATACAGCCTGCCCCTGTCCCAGCAGTCCTTCAGCTGGTGTAGTAGATGTGGAAGTAGAGAGTCTTGTTGCGCAGCAGGGAGTAGGAGTTGTCGAACTTGAGCAGGTAGATGCCCTCACCAGGGTAGTCATGGCTGCCAGCCTGCACGTCTCGGTGGCTGTCCCGCCGGTACACAGGCATGACCTCCCCATAGCGACCCCGCAAGGAGCTCCTGGAGCCTCTCTCCACATCTCCAGCTGGAACGGGTTCTGCGTGAGCAAAATGGCAAAGTGTTCAGAGACTGCGTAAGTCCTGCCTGAAGGTGAGCGGAAGGACCAGGTGACCCAGTGGCTTTCACAGAGCGGGGAGATTATTGCCCTCCTACAGACATTTGGAAATGTCTGGTGATCTTTTGGTCATCACAGTGACTATTAGGTGATATCTGCATTTAGTACCCAAGGGTCCAGGAGTGCTAAAATCAGGATAGTACCTACACAACAAACAATGTCCCATCCCAAATGCCAATAATGTCTCCACTGAGAAAATGATTTAGCCTGAGAGGAGCCTTCCTAGCTTCAGAAGTGTCTGGACATTTCTGAGAGGGAGAAAGAGATATTTAGAAGAAAAGATCCCGATATTCTATCATTTAGTAGGTGAAAGGACTAGCTAACGAAGATAGGAATTGCAGATAAACGTGCTATAAAGTGACCCTAGGATTCCTGAAAAGCAGCAAATAAGATACAAGGTTCTCCGCTTTCCCAGATACCTGTAGGTTTCCCTGCCCGCTTGCTGTTCTATGAAGAAGCACGTTAAAGGACTGACTTTAAGATTATATAAGAAAATCAAGGAATAAGAGGAATAAGACTAATGCTTAGGACCTACTCTTACGTTATCTGAAAAATGCCTCTGGGCCATCCTTTGTGTAGTGTGTAGACACTACAAATAACAGCCGGAATGGAGCCCGGAGACCCTTTTAAAACTTGTCTGGGCATGAAGTAAAGAAGTAACCAATAGCCAGCTATGAGAGTTTGGGATAAGGAGAGAATGGATACCTTTAGCAAACTGTAATCACTCACTTTGGTTCCAGGCCAAGAATAAATATCTACAAACTAAGAGAGAGATGTAAAATAATCTCTGGCTTACATGCGACCTGAATGACCATCCCTCTAAACTGCCGCATGACTCACCCTCTCTCTGCTCCTGCCCCATCCCTGCCCCCAGGAAGGTGTTGGGAAAACAATGAGGTACCGATAAGGAAAAAGAGGCTTTCTTTCAATTAAGGCAGCAGTATCAACCCCACCAGAATGTTCTCTTTGGCCTGTACCACTCAGCTTAGCTTGTAATGCTGAGTTTCTCAACTGCATTCAAAGGAAGAGGAGGACTGGTACAACCCACAAAATGGTCACCAGAAATCAGATTAAGCCAGAAAACTGCAAATTAGGTTAAAATTAAATTTACCTTCAATCTCTTCCTCCTCTTCCTCTTCTTCATCCTCATCGTCACTGGAATCACTGACCTGCACAGTTATGTCAGTGCTAGTTACAGGGGTCCAGTCAAAATAAACTCCAAAGCCAATGTCATAGTCATCGGTCGCAAACTCCCAGCAGACACGCTTCCCCTCTGGATGAGTAGGTACCCGGATGGTCACCACCTCACCACGCTTCACCACCAGACGGCTGTTCTTCTCTTTGCCCAGCTTGCTTTTGAATTCCTTCACCTTGGCAAAGGTCCAGATGCATGGAGGAGCCATCAGAGGTGGGGAGACTGAAAGGACAAGCAGCTTAGCACTGAGAAACCATGAGGAAACATGAGTACCCCGGGCATTTTGCTAAGAGAGGCTGGCACAGTCAGACATTCTTTCTACTGGCTTGACTTCCTTTCACAAGTCATTTTCTTTCCTTCCATTTGTCTGTCTGCCTGCCTTTCTTTGAGTATCTACTGGAAACAAACCACCTCCTTTACTCCCAAAGGTCTCACCTTTCCTGTGGTCCCCCAGAAGATCTGCAGATTCCAAATCAGCTGAAAGAACATCTATAGCTCCTGTATGTTCAGACTGGATCATAACGATGTCCCCAGACCTCTGTGGAACTTGATACTTAGCCATCTGCACAACAGAACTCTGGTTAAAGGAGTATTCGAGTGGCAGATTCTAATTAATCTCTTTTTGCATGAAGGCTGCCCCACCCCTGCTCTATTATCTCCACTATCCCCACTCAAAGCTTAATGTACTAGTCAATGTTCCTTCTCTTTCTTCCAAATAGAAGTTGCTAATAAATTCTACTAATTTTTTAAAGCCATCAAAATATTCCATTGTTTAAAGACTGTTTCCTACCTTTTGCAACTTTCCTGCTCCAAACCCTTTATAAGGTCCTTGTCCGCCAACACCCTCGCAGGTTGTTAACAGTATTTGCATTGACTGTGATTCTGGGCCATGCCTTGGTCTTACCTCACCTGCACAGTACCTCCCTGTGGCTCCTCTCATTAATAGCTCTTGCTCCTAGGGTTTAGTTTGACTCCCACTCTGCCACACATCCTCCTGCTACAATTCCCACTCAAGGGTTACTTCTACATTACTGTCAATCAGCTCTCCAAAGCACTGCAGAGACAGAATCTGGTTTATAGTCTTTCTCTCTCATCCACAGCCCACCTCGGGCTACAGATTGTCTCAGTCTTGAAGTCACTAACAGTGTTCTATCAATAGTTACAATTTCACCTTAGACCAGCCCCAGGACTTGCATTTAAACAGTACATTTGCTGCCAGACGTCTGACTTACATGGAAGAATGCAAATGGCATTTGATACTCAAAGCCCTCACTAACCCATGCGGGAGCTTACAATGTCTCCCTGGTGAGTTTCCCTTCAAATCACTCAGATTAGTGTTCCTGGTTTCATGCTATTATACCTTAATTTCTGCCCCTTCTCCAAACAGTTGGCAGGCAACTCAACAAGAAAACTATACCTATTGCCCACAGGGGAGAGCACATCAGTGAGTCAGCAATCCAGTTAAGAGGCTGGAATTGTATTTGTGAGAAATAAATAAATCAAGTTTGTAATCCTCCCAGGCTGTATTCTCATAATATCTGTTTCTGGAGAATAAGCCCTCCAGTTCTCATCTCCTTTGCTAACTGAAATGAATCAGACTTTGGCTAGCGTGCTTAAATAAATCCTTCCTTTTCTAAAATGCTAAATAAAGGATTAGGTTGCAACATATTAGCTACATAGCCTTAGTAAAGTCTCTAACAGCCCTCAGCCTCAGTTTCCTCATTTCTTTCTTTCATTCCTTTTGAGACAGAGTTTTGCTCTTGTTGCCCAGGCTGGAGTGCAATGGCACGATCTCAGCTCACTGCAACCTCCACCTCCCAGGTTCAAGCAATTCTCCTGCCTCAGCCTCCCGAGTAGCTGGGATTACAGACACCTGCCAACACGCCCAGCTAATTTTGTATTTTTAGTAGAGATGGGGTTTTTCCATGTTGGTCAGGCTGGTCTCGAACCCCTGACCTCAAGTGATCTGCCTGCCTCGGCCTCCCAAAGTGCTGGGATTACAGGCATGAGCCACCGGGCCCAGCCAGTTTCCTCATTTCTTAAATGGAGACACAATGGCACCTATCTGACAAGGTTGTTCTCAGGAGTAAATGAAGTGTTACAGATACAAATGCTTGTAAACTGTAAAGTATTATACAAATCTAATTATAACGCCTGGTGGTGTCTTCATTGACACTAATACCAACCATTATTCTAACACATATGCTAATAAATGATAGAAACAACCCCATCCCGCCCCCATCCCTCCATGGCAGGGGCACCACTACACCATCACTTCCATACAGCTACTTGGAAGGCTGAGGCAGGAGGATCACTCGAGCCCAGGATTTTGAGGCTGCAGTGAGCCATGACTGCACCATCGCACTGAAGCCGGGTGACAGAGTGAGACCTTTGTCTCAAAAAAAAAAAAAAAAAAAAAAAATCAAGGCCAGGCACAGTGGCTCACATCTGTAATCATAGCACTTTGGGAGGTCAAGGCGGGTGGATCACCTGAGGTCAGGAGTTCGAGATTAGCCTGACCAATATGGTGAAGCCCTGCCTCTACTAAAAATACAAAAATTAGCCGGGTGTGGTGGCATGTGCCTGTAATCCCAGCTACTCGGGAGGCGAGGTGGGACAATCACTTGAACCCAGGAGGTGGAGGTTGCAGTGAGCCAAGATCGTGCCACTGCACTCCAGCCTGGGCGACAGAGGGAGACCCTGTCTCAAAAAAAAAAAAAAAAAAAAGCTTCTGTGGAATCTTTATCATAAATACTAAATAGATCTACCACAAGAAAAGTAAGAGCAAAATAGTCCAATGACTTCAGGCTCCTCAATGAAGAGGATTTTAGAGAACACATGAACATTCACTCTAACACTTCGTTTTCTGAATCGGTGCCTACTGGGTGCCAGTACAATGATGGGCCCTGTGGAAGATACAAATAATCATTCTCCAAAAAATAATGAAGACCAAGATGCCCTAAATTAGAGGGCAAAGAGAGAATTCCGGGAGCCACCCTCGCAGTGCTTTCTAATTCCAACCCAACCACTATGTGTCCACATTCTGGTGCCTCCTTTCATAAGAAAGAGCCAGAATCTGCCCCCTACCTCATTGAGGACCTGGGCCTGGTCTGCAGGCAGCAAATCCTGTTTCACCAAGGCCTGAGCCTCCAAAGGACCAGTTGCTTTCCGCAGATCTTCCGTGGCATCCTTACTCACTGGAGATACCATCTGTGGCCTCTCAGAGGAAGAGAGCATGTTAATTCAAGGACTCTTTGAAAAGACTCAATCATCCTGGAGAAACTTTGAAATAAAACAACATTCGAGATACCCCCTGCCCCACCTGCCCCTGGCATTTATTTAGCTCTACTGTCACCTTAGCCGACCACTGCCCAGGGCTGAATTGGTCCACAGTAAAGTGTTGACAGTGTGAAAACAAAGACTAACAAGGCCAGGTCAAAGGCTAGGAGAACCATGGAAAACACACAGCTCCATCATCTGAGATGGACTGCTGGTCTGGTTTTTTTTTTTTTTTTTTTTTTTTGTCATTGTTGTTTCTTTTATTTATTTATTTTAGTTGACAAAGTGTATATATTTATGGTGTACAATGTGCTGTTTTGATATATGTACACATTGTAAAATGATTAAATTGAGCTAATTAACATATCCATCCCCTCACATACTCCTTTTTGTGGTGAGAACATTTAAAATCTACTGTCTTAGCAATTTTCAAGTATACATTGTTATTAACTATTGTCACCATGTTGTACAAAGATCTCCAGAACTTGTTCCTCCTTCTAACACCTTATACCACTTGACCAACATCTCCCCATCCCACCCCCTGGCCCCAACACCTATTAACCACCATCCTGCCCTCGGCTTCTGTGAGTTCCAATGTTATTCCTCACTCTGCGGCCCACAGGGCCCACAGAATTTTAACCGAGGAATTGGTAGAATCTCAGTTCAGTTCTACACACAAAGCCACTGGCTAGAAGCAAAAGGAGGAGGTCTGCCTAAGGGAGACT
Organism: Homo sapiens; assembly: GCF_000001405.40. Classification (NCBI taxonomy): domain Eukaryota; kingdom Metazoa; phylum Chordata; class Mammalia; order Primates; family Hominidae; genus Homo; species Homo sapiens. The sequence continues at coordinate 77,347,266 of NC_000014.9, forward strand.
GGGCACCAAAACAAAGTACAAAATGATGATCAAGGCAACCCTCTCTGCAGTTATCCCTGAGGCAGTCTTTCAGCAGATCCGTTTCATACCCTGTCCCCGTTCAGTGCTAGGGGTCATCACTTTCTCTCCTTTTTAAAGCACATTAATCAACAATCCCAATGGCTTCAAACACAGCTATGTGAATAGTTGTTTGTTTTTTGGCAGAGTGCACCAGTGATGCATCTCACCACAACCTCAAGCAATTCTCCTGCCTCAGCCTCCCGAGTAGCTGGGATCACAGGCATGTGCCACGACACCCGGCTAATTTTGTATTTTTAGTAGAGACAGTGTTTCTCCATGTTGTTGGTCAGGCTGGTCTTGAACTCCCGACCTCAGGTGATCTGCCTGCCTCGGCCTCCCAAAGTACTAGGATTACAGGCGTGAGCCACCGTGCTCAGCCATGAATAGTTGATTATAAAGATGCAAGGGAATGATTTATGCTCTCTTCCATTTCCCCTGGCCTCACAAAAACTAGAAAATTAGTGCCACGGTTGTAGCAAAATAACCCAGGCCTTTTGGGAATCTGTTGCTGATAAAAGGTGACATGGATTTTTTTGAATGGCAGTTATCCAAGTATGGTCTAGGGGCCCTTCGGGGGAGTCTATGAAGTTCAAACTGTTTCATAATAACACTAAAATGTTATTTCCCTTTTTTCATTCTCATTTTCTCAAGAGTGTGCAGTGGAATTTTCCAGAGACTATATGACATGTGATACCGCAATAGAATGAACTCAGAAGCAGAGCTGAGAATCCAACTGCCTTTTATTAAGCCAAACATTAAAGAGATTTATGTCTCTCTTTGTACTACATTCTTTGCTTTGAAAATTAGTTGTTTTTAAGTAAAAACATGTTTTATATATAGCATGTCATGAGTTATTATTTTTAAATGAACAAATAACCATATTCTAATTTTTCAGTTTTAATTTCTTTTTTTTTTTGAGACGGAGTCTCACTCTGTCGCCCAGGCTGGAGTGCAGTGGCGCGATCTCAGCTCACTCAAGCTCCGCCTCCCGGGTTCACTCCGTTCTCCTGCCTCACCCTCCCGAGTAGCTGGGACTACAGGCGCCGGCCACCACACCCAGCTAATTTTTTTGTATTTTTAGTAGAGACGTGGTTTCACCATGTTAGCCAGGATGGTCTCGATCTCCTGACCTCGTGATCCACCCACCTTGGCCTCCCAAAGTGCTGGGATTACAGGCATGAGCCACCGCGCCCGGCTGTTTTAATTTCTAATATAGTAAATATTGATAGATATAACCCACACAAACAAAAATTCTTTGGGTCCTTAATAATTTTTAAGAGTATAAAGGTCTGAGAATCCCTGCTTGAGGGCATCATTTCCTCAAAGAGGTTGAGTAAATGACTGGAAAATGGTAGTATACACCTCATGGGGGAAACGGAGGCTTCATTTTAGAGTTTATTAGTTTGTTTCTTTTCTTTTTTAACATAAACAAGAAGAATCACTCCTTCAGATAAAACAGAGCCATCTTTTGGAATATCCAAAATTACTCCAACCTACCTCAGGACAGACAAGAGGAGGTCACTCCAAGAATCAGAGCTGTGGGATTCTGTTGATCTTTATAGGTTCACTTGGGTAATTCAGTGTAAGCTGTAAACTGGCCTAGGCTGTGGGTCTATTTTAATGCTCTTCAACCCAGAAATTATAGTCCATTTCTGTTTCTTGACACTGTGTATCATCTGCCTCCTCTACTAGAAAGTAAGCTTGGTGGCAGGCACTGGGTCTCACTGCCTCTGTATGCACAGCACTGGGAACCAAGCCTGCCACCTGGAACTCTAAGGCCCTTTTTTTTTTTTTTTTTTTTTGGAGACAGAGTCTTGCTCTGTCGCCCAAGCTGGGGTGTAGTGGCATGATCTCGGATCTCGGCTCACTGCAACTCTGCCTCCCTGGTTCAAGCAATTCTCTTGCCTCAGCCTCCTGAGTAGCTGGGACTACAGGTGTGCACCACCATGCCTGGCTAATTTTTTGTATTTTTAATAGAGACGGGGTTTCACCATGTTGGCCAGGGTGGTCTCAAACTTCTGACCTCAGATGATCCACCCGCCTCTGCCTCCCAAAGTGCTGGGATTACAGGCGTGAGCCACCTCGCCCAGCCCTAAGGCCCTTTGCACTCTGACCTCACCTCTCAGAATCCTCACTCTGCCCTGGTCCCTCCAGCCACAACAGCCTCTTCAATCCTTGATAGTCCTCAAACACCCCAAGTACTCTCCCACTTGAGAGCTTTTGCATTTGCTGTAATCTCTGCCTAGAATACTCTTCTAGGACATTAACTCTTCTTTAGTTAACTGAAGACTTCCTTCCTGCAGGTTTTCTGCTGAGAGGTTTCTCAGAGGTCTGTATATAAAATGTGTGCCCCTTCCTGGCCTTGTCACTGTTTCTGCCCTTACCCAGCTTCATTTTTCTTCACTGCACCTATTACTGCCTGACATGATATGGAGCATATTTTGTTGATTGCAAGATGCACACTGGCTTTTAGATTTTAACACAACTGAAAGATAGGATGTCTTAAAAATTGATGATATCTTAAAAGTGCCGTGGGCCTGGATTGACATCAACTCTTTCCACGAGAGATTTGCATTTGCTTCTGCCAGTACTTAGGAATGCTACCAATCTGAGACTTCTTGAAATTAAGTTCTCTGTTTAGGGTTTTGTTTAATCCTCCTGGCAGAGTGAATTTAGACAAGACACTGGCTAATACCAACTGGTGGTTCCTATTCTCAGGGGAGATATTTTTTCCTCCTATGACACAGTGTCAAGTTTGAGACAATCAAGCTTCCTTGCTGTCCTTTTCTGTGTGGGGGATTTTTGTCTTTATATTTTCACTGAAGGTGCAGGTTTTTGGTATCCCAGTTGCATATGGGGGGTCTATTAGATGATCCATCTTAAGCATTTCTTCCTCTCTTGGTGGGACGTGAAAGCACAACTTACAGTTGACGGCAACTTAAGAGTCTGTGAAGTATGATGTGTAATTGTTTTCTGTCCACTTCCCCCACTAGAACATAAGCTCCCTGAGAGCAGTGATGGACTATTTTGTTCATTTGTGGTTTCTTTAGTACCTAGAACAGTATCAGGTACATGGTAGGCTCCCAACAAACATCTGTTGAATAAATATTAGCCCCAAAATATTTGTTGAATAAAAAATGAATAAGTTAATTTTTGCCTGGGAATAAAAGAGAAATTCTGGATCAGACTATCATTTATAATATTGGAAAGGTGAGACTACAACAGGCTATCTGAATCATTAGCTTGACTTACTGTGTGTGACATCTAAAATTGTCTCTTTGTCTTTGTGCATGCTACTCTGAAAAAACATGGTTCTGCTTATTTAAAAAACATATTTTAAGGCTCGGTGTGGTGGCTCATGCCTGTGGTCCTAGCTACTCACAAGGCTGAGATGGGAGGGTTGCATGGTCCAGGAGCTTGAGGCTGCAGTGAGTTATGACTGCCTACCGTGCTCCAGCCTGGGCAACAAAGCAAGACTCTGTCTCAAGAAATAATTAAATAATAAAATTATGTTAAACAGGATATGTGCCACCCACATAAATTTAATATTCACAATTAGCATTTTATGCTCTGGAGAATTAGAAAAGGGCATTTGGGGAAAGATTAATTTCAAATTATTTGATGCTGGTGATAAGCCACATAAAGGAAAAGCCTCCGCTTTAAGCTTCTGGTTTGTACTGACCTGGAGCAGGGAGGCCATCTCAAAGGAAGGGGAGAGCCTGGCCGGCAAGCCAGCCTCACTAGAAAAGATAGAAAGTTGTGCCGTTTCCATTTCCAATAGACACATAAGCATAAGAAGTAAGCCTCAGGCATCACATTCACTGGATTTTTATCTTCACTCAGCAAATGTTAGAAACAAAAGTTAAAAATTAAATCCCTGGCCCGGCGCGGTGGCTCACGCCTGTAATCCCAGCACTTTGGGAGGCCGAGGTGGGCGGATCACAAGGTCAGGAGTTCGAGACCAGCCTGTCCAATATGATGAAACCCCGTCTCTACTAAAAAATACAAAAATTAGCCAGGCGTGGTGGTGCGCGCCTGTAGTCCCAGCTACTACAGGCGTGTAGTCTGGCCACCACGCCCCGCTAATTTTTTTTTTTTTTTTTTTTTTTGGATTTTTAGTAGAGACGGGGTTTCACTGTGCTAGCCAGGATGGTCTCGATCTCCTGACCTCGTGATCCACCCGCCTTGGCCTCCCAAAGTGCTGGGATTACAGGCGTGAGCCACTGCGCCCGGCCCACATTCTTTACTTTAACTTGCCTCCCCGCTTAAAGTCACTACCTATTTCTTTCACCAGTTCCTCATCTCAGAAGATAAAACCTGTGAAAGCATTCTATCCAAAGTGGTTACCTGTGGGGTGAGGAGCAGGGTTCTGGATCGGTGGCAGAAGCCAATAAAGAGGTATCCTTGTTTTCTAGATCTTCATTCTCTAGAAAACCATAGAAAGAAAGAATTCAATATCTGAGAGGGAATACAATCATAATTATCTTGTACCTTTAAAAAAATCTAGCAATTTCAACCAAATTCTTCCCAAAAATATTCTGGTATGAACTTTATACTCTCAGAGGCCCAACACATAAATTATTCAAGTCATCACATCCAAGTATTCTCAGACAGTCATATCTCATTCATAAAAAATAAATCATTTCTAAAACAAGGCTCCAAAAATTAATCCTAATTTAAGAATCATATTTCTGCCAGGTGAAGTGGCTCACACCTATAATCCCAACACTTTGGGAGGCCAAGGCAGGAGGATTGCTTGAGACCAGGAGTTCAAAACCAGCCTGGGCAACAGAGCAAGACCCTGTCTCTAAAAAAAATTAAGGCCAGATGCAGTGGTTCATGCCTGTAATCCCAGCACTTTGGGAGGCTGAGGTGAGTCAGGAGTTCAAGACCAGCCTGATCAACACAGTGAAACCCCATCTCTACTAAAAATACAAAATTAGCCAGGCATGATGGTGCACACCTGTAATCCTAGCTACTTGGTAGGCTGAGGCAGAAGAATCACTTGAACCCGGGAGGCGGAGGTTGCAGTGAGCAGAGATCACACCATTGCACTCCAGCCTGGGCAACAACAGCAAAACTCCGTCTCAAAAATAATAATAATAAATTTTAAAAATTAAAAAAAAAATAGGGCCAGGCACGGTGGCTCACACTTGTAATCCCAGCACTTTGGGAGGCCGAGGTGGGCGGATCACTTGAGGTCAGGAGTTCGAGACCAGCCTGGCCAACATGGCGAAACCATGTCTCTACTAAAAATATAAAAATTAGCCGGGCATGGTGGCACGCAGCTGTAATCCCAGCTACTCAGGAGGCTGAGGCAGGAGAGTCACTTGAACCCAGGAGGTGGAGGTTGCAGTGAGCTGAGATCACACCACTGCACTCCAGCCTGGGCGACAGAGCGAGACTCCAACTCAATTAAAAAAAATTAATAAAAAGAAAGAAATCATATTCCTCAGAAAGCAGATGGTTAAATTAGGCAGAACATAGAGGGCAGAGTGGGATGTAAGATAAACTGAATTTAGCATCAAAGTATAAAGTGTCACTTCTACATTCAATAAGCTCAGATCAATGTACCCAAGGTCAGGTAAAGGACTTTTGTATTTTCATTTATTTATTCAATCACTCATTTACCAATGATTTACTGAATAACTAGGTGCCCTCAAGGAGTATATAGGTGAAATGCATAATGAAGGCCATGTTCTCAAGCTCAAAAGAAGCCTATGTATGGCTGGTCTTATCACAGCCATTTTTGCAGTAAGGAACTTAAGGCATAGAGACAGGATTCAAACCCAGGCAGTTGTGCCCTTAACCATCAGATGCTACTTAGTTTTGTGGGTTATTCATTTAGCCTTTCCTTGAACACCCAGATAGCATATGGTTTAGTGCATTTAGACAGCCCCTCATTAAACTCCCTCTGTGTAAGACAACAAGACACTGAAGACTGAAGTTTACTTCTCAATACAAAATGCAACTTAAGTAAACTTCAAACATTGAAAGTTTCAGAGTTTGGTAGCAAACTCAAAGTGAAAATGACAGGCAAAATTTTTAATCCAAGCTTAATTTAGTCTCATGTTTTATATGTGAACAAGATCTATTTTTCTTTTCTTTTCTTTGTTTTTTTTTTTTTTTTGGAGGGGGACAGGGTCTCCCTCTATCACCCAGGCTGGAGTGCAGTGACACAATTATGACTCTCGGCCTCTTGGCAACCTCAACCTTCCAGGTTCAAGCGATCCTCTCACCTCAGCCTCCTGAGTAGCTGGGACCACAGGCACACCCCACCATGCCAGACTGATTTTTTTCTTTTTTTTTTTGTAGAGATGGGGGTCTCACTATGTTGCCCAGGAAGGCTTGTCTTGAATTCCTGGGCTCAAGTGATCCTCCCACCTCAGCCTCCCAAAGTGCTGAGATTACAGGCGTGAGCCACTGTGCCCATCCAAGATCTATTTTTCTTTGGGTCAATTCAGTCTCACAGGCAGAAAGACCTTAGAGCTCCTGCCATCTAATTTTTCTCCCAACAAAGAAACACTGTTCCCCAGTCTCTGCCACTCTGTAAAGAGGCCCATTCACTGAGGGAAAATGCAAAGAGAAAGTTCTCCCCTCTGTTGACCTAAGTGAAGTGTGCTTTCTAATAAATTCTACTCTTTGACCACTACTCCCGACAATATCCTTTCCCATATTGACAGCTGGCTGTCACATTTCCACAAGTTCCTTCTCCTCAGGCTGGTCATCTTCACACTATATAGCCTGTGACCATGCTGGCTCCCTTTAGCCGCTCCACTTAGTTTGTTCCATTTAAAGAAAGGAGCCAAAATGAACAACTTTTCCAGGTGTGTTCCAATCCGTGCAGACTACACTGACAATAACCTCTTAAAAAGGACACAATATTTCTTGACATAATACCTTAACCAGGCACTAGATTTCTTAACTGCAAACTTACTGTTGGCCTAAATAAGTCAATCAAGATCTCCAGGGCTTATAAAAATAAACTTTTTCTAAGCCCACTCTCTCCTATGCTCTATTTTTAAAATAGACTTTTGGAAAATAATTGATTTTTTAACTTAAAACCAGGACTTTATATACCCTATTACTTATTTCAAATTAACTTTTTGAAATTATACTAATAATGCTTTGTTCATTGTAGAAAAAAGTACAGATAAGAAAACATTTTGCATCTACCCTTCCAGACTTTATTTCCTTTAAAATAATTTTTAATATACAGATAATCCATTGTTCACTGTAAAAAAAATAAATCAGGAAATACAGATAAGCAAAACAACAACAAACTAACCGTAACCCCACTAACCAAAGATTACCACTGTTAACTTTTTAAAAAAAGACACAAGGTTGGCTGGGTGCAGTGGCTCATGCCTGTAATCCCAGCACTTTGGGAGGCCGAGGAAGGTGGATCACCTGAGGTCAGGAGTTCAAGACCAGCCCGGCCAACACGGCAAAACCCTGTCCTACTAGAAAATACCAAAATTAGGTAGGTGTGGTGGCGAGCACCTGTAATCCCAGCTACTTGGGAGGCTGAGGCAGGAGAATCACTTGAACCCTGGAGGAAGAGGTTGCAGTGAGGTAAGATTGCACCACTGTACTCCAGCCTGGGTGACGAAGGAAGAACTCTGTCTCAAAAAAAAAAAAAAGACAAGAGGTTTCTTTATGTTGCCCAAGCTAGTCTTGATCTCTTGGGCTCAAGCGGTCCTCCCACCTCCCCTTCCCAAAGTGCTGGGGTTACAGCACAGCATCTGGCCAACTGTTAACATTTTGATGTATATCCCTTGAGAAATACATTTATACATATATGCATACAAATACAAATGTATATGTATTGTGTGTGTGTGTGTGTGTTTCTGAAAGGACATGCACTAAACACTTTTTTTTTTTTTTTGAGACATAGTCTTGCTCTGTTGCCCAGGCTGGAGTGCAATGGCATGATCTCAGCTCACTGCAACCTCTGTCTCCGTGTTCAAGCGATTCTCCTGCCTCAGCCTCCTGAGTAGCTGGAATTACAGGCACACACCACCACACCCGGCTAATTTTTTGTATTTTTAGTAGAGATGGGTTTTCACCATGTTGTCCAAGCTGGTCTCAAACTCCTGACCTCAGGTGATCCACCCGCCTCGGCCTCCCAAAGTGCTGGGATTACAGGCGTGACCCACCATGGCCAATAAACACTTTTAATGAACATTTTTCAGAGTCAATAAAGATAGGGCTATATCATAATTTTAAACGGCTACATATTATCCCATACGTTGTCCCACCAATTCTTAACCTTCTACTGGTAGAGCTAGTGCTTATTCCAAATCTTTCATTGTTACAGGCAATGATGCTGTCTATAACAATTACAGATTGTTATAGACTGTTAGAGATAATGATGTTCTATTGGCATTATCTACAACATTTTCTTAAGAACCTCCCCCCTCAACAGCCTTGGAAGTGGCAGTTCCTATGATCAAGGTACATTGTGTTGGCCATAGTTCATTGGTTTCCGGTGAGCACCTGCCCAAAAGTCAGTCCGATTCTCTTCCGTAAAATCTGGAGTTGGTATCCAAGACGGAAACAGACTGTGGAGAACTTTGTCAGTTTAGGAGCTGAGCCTGCCTTTTGGGAGAAGCCTTCACAGGCCACATAAAAGCAGATGACTAAGCAGAGAAGATAATTTTCAGAAAGTACAATGATGCATTCAAGTAAAGGGAAAGAAAAACAAGGGGACCTCTGAGTCTAGGAGAGAAACAGACCAGAGAGGCTACTTTGTAACACCATGAGGTTCAAGTGTGCTCCTCCAACTGGAGTCTGTAAGAGGCCTTACATAGTAACAATGAGCTCTTTTTTTCTTTTTATTGTGAAATAAACCACACATATGAAAGATTGCATGAAAAGAAGATACAGAGCTAAAATATTAATAATACAAATACCTGCATACCTACTAACTAGGTGAATTATTAGTACTTTAGAATTCCCCTACCCAATGCCCTTTCCTATCCTATATTCCCTGTTCCAAATTCTGAGTAAATTATTCCTTGCTATTCTTTATATATTTTAACTAATTACTGCTGTTTAAAAACCTTTATTGTAGAAAATGTTAAACATATACAAAATCACAAAATTAGATCACAGTAGAATGAAGACTCATGCACCCTACCTATGTTTTCAACAAGATTTTACTTGGCCTGGTTTCCTCCATGCCCTACCTTCTTGCCCCACTCACCAACAGATTATTTCAAACAAAGCCCAGACATCATTGTATCTACCATTACATTCATTTAGAACAAATCTCTAAAGAAGAAGACTTTCAACACAGGTACAACAACATTATCACTCCTACAAAATTGGCAATTCCTCAATATCATCTCATACCCAGCCCATGTTCAAATTTCTCCAAGTTGTCTCCCAGAATTTCTTCTTAGGAGCTGGTTTGTTTGAATCAGAATCCAAATAAAGTTCACACACTAAATTTACCTTATAATCTCTTAATCTACATCAATCCTCACCACCATGGGTCTGTATACAATATATTTGTTGACATTTTAAAAAACTGATCTGCAGACTTTTCAAACATTCTGAATTTGGCTGACTGCCTTTTCACGGTATCACTTAACAGATTATTTTATGCACTATATTTCCTATAAACCGGTCATAGATGTAGAGCTTCACTGTCCAGTATAGTAATTACTAGTACACGTAGCTAAATTTAAATTTAAAAGAATTTAAAATTCGGTCCACCCATCTCAACTAGCCACATTTCAAGTACTCAATAGCCATGAGTTGCTAATGGCTACTGTTGCCAGGGAGCACATTTTCACCATCAAAGCAATTCTATTGGACTGTGTTGATCTAGAGGCTTGACTCAATTCAGGTTCAGTTTTGTTCTTGCAAGAATATTCCAGAAGTAACATATGTAATTCCTATTGTATTACATTAAGAGGCACATAATCTATGGTTATTACAAGTTTAATGATAAAAAGATTAGGTTCATGTTTTCAGCCTAATCCACCATCAAGCTCCTCATTAACCCTGCACCTAGTGGCTTTAGCAGGCATTCATGATCATTGTCTAAAATAGATACAGGATTTCATTAAAAACTAGAAAATGACTTTTCCAATTCTAGCACTTTCTACAGTTGTTCTTAGTTGGAATTCTACTAAAAACAAAATTTCCCCTCATCAACTATTTGGCTACTCTGACACAGTCATAAGAGAAAAGCAGGATAAAGACTTGATCCTTCACCAACTGACTTAGAATCATAACAACCTCCAAAGGTAACCAATGATTTGTTCTTTGAAGTATCGTTAGAAACACATGAATTTTAGCATATTTTATGTGCTTCAAGTTTTCCTAATTTTGGCCTGTGGGAGCTCCTCAAAGTTGGCTCTTGTGTCCTTTTAAGATGACACCACTGGTCTTGCTTATAGCATAAGTTCTGAGCTTTAAAATCTTATAAATGCCTGTCCCACACTTGGAATCAACTATTTCTCTAAGGAGTCCTGGTTCTTTTTCATTAGAAATTGTCTTTAAAGGCTGGGCATGGTAGCTCACACCTGTAATCCCAACACTTTGGGAGGCTGAGGCAGGTGGATCACCTGAGGTCAGGAGATGGAGACCAGCCTGGCCAACATGGTGAAACCCCATCTCTACTGAAAATACAAAAATTAGCTGGGCATGGTGGCACACATCTGTAATCCTAGGTACTTGGGAAGCTGAGGCATGAGAATCGCTGGAACCTAGGAGGCGGAGGTTGCAGTGAGCTGAGATCGTGCCAAGGCACTCCAGCCTGGGTGATGGAGTGAGGCTCTGTCTCCAAAAAAAAAAAAAAAAAAAAGAAATTGTATTTAAAGACCACAATCAATGTAATATATCACACACACACACACACACACACGAATATATATATATCCTAAATGTCATATATTAATATCACATATAAAAATATACATGTAAAATGAATTCATGCAAATACTTCTAATTCAGATTACAGGATTTTTCTTTTTTTTTTTGAGACGGAGTCTTGCTCTGTCGCCCAGGCTAGAGTGCAGTGGCGCAATCTCTGCTCACTGCAACCTCCACCTCCTGGGTTCAAGTAATTCTGCCTTAGCCTCCTGAGTAGCTAGGATTACAGGCACATGCCACCACGCCCAGCTAATTTTTGTATTTTTAGTAGAGACAGGGTTTCACCATGTTGGTCAGGCTGGTCTCAAACTCCTGACCTCGTGATCTGCCCGCCTCAGCCTCCCAAAGTCCTGGGATTACAGGCGTGAGCCACCACGCCTAGCCCAGATTACAAGATTTTTAACCTAACTTTAATTCTATATTTGTATTTTTCGGTCTTGTTGTGGAAAATCCTGGATCTTAATAATATTCACATATATACATATTTGCTTTCTTCTACAATGTAAATATAATAGTTTTAAACGAATAACAGTATAACTAAGGATATGGATATTATAACATTCTTCTCCTTAGCTTTTAACCTTCCATTATTTGTTTTTGAAAACATAAGGAAATACATATACATATAGTTGTATGTTGCCCCCATCTTAGAAAAAAATACACATTCTTCTTCTGCAACTTTTTTTTGTTTGTTTGTTTGTTTGTTTGTTTTTGAGACAGGGTCTTGCTGTGTGACCCAGGCTGGAGTACAGTGGTGCGATCACAGCTCAATGCAGTCTCAACCTCCCTGGCTTAAGCGATTCTCCTGCCTCAGGCTCCCAAGTAGCTGGAACCACAGTCCCATGCCACCACACCTGGCTAATTTTTTAAATTTTCTGTAGAGATGGGGTTTTGCCATGTAGCCCAGGCTGATCTCAAAACTCCTGAGCTCAAGCAATATGCCCACCCCGGACTCCCAAAGTGCTAGGATTACAGGCATGAGCCACTGCGCCCAGCTACAACTTGTTTTTATCACTTAACAACACAGCCTAGAAGAGCTTTCAAGTTGGTGAATTTATCCACATTCAGTGGTGCAACCCAACTCCATGCAGACGGAAGCTCCTGCACTCAGGACCCTTCCAGGCCTCGCCCTATTTACCTCTTCATCTGGCTGTTTATCCTTTATAATAAACACTGGTTTATTATATAAAAACAGGCAGAAATTCTCCAGATGTCTCCCAGTAATGTCCAAGTTTTTATCCCAGTGTCACAAAGAAATACCAATGATGAAACAACATGACCTACCCAGGACAACCTACAACGACCTGAAGACATTTACTGGGGAGCTGTGTTGTTTTCATAATATCTGCTATCGAGTAAAACTGAAGAGTGGCTTTCTACTTGATCAAAAAACAGTTTAAAAAGAAATATTAATGAATATCAAAGGAGTAATGAAACCTGGCCTCAACGCCATTCTGGTACACACAGGTGGAGGCAAACCATGGTTGTTAGATGTCTGAGCTGCAAAGAAAAGATCCACATGATTATCTGGAGATGTTTTGATAAATGGAGTACCTCAATCTGCCAATTTCAAATGTAATTCACATTCTGTGGTACAGGATGATATCATCATGGGCACTCTGACAGTGAGAAAAAATTTACAGTTCTCAGCAGCTCTTTGGCTTTCAACAACTATGACAAATAATAGAAAAAAAAATTGAATGAATTAACATGGTCATTCAAGAGTTAGGTCCAGAAAAAGTGGCATTCCAAGATTGGAACTCCATTCATGGTGTGTCTGGAAAAGATTACACAGATCTTCCTCATTACTTTAAATTTTTAAATTGTATATGTTTAAGGTGTACAACATAATGTTTTGATATACATATAGATGGTGAAATGGTTACCATATCAAGCAAATCAACAAATCCATCATCCCACAGCTATCCTCTCTTTTTGTGATGTTGAACATCTTTTTATATACCTGTTGGCCATTGTATGTGGCAAAAGCACCTAAAATTTCCTTTTAGTAAAATTCCCAAGCAAAATATTATTAACCATAGTTCTCATATTGTACATTAGATCTCTAGACTTGTTCATCCTATGTATCTCTACTTTGTATCCTTTGACCTACACCTCCCCCTTTCCTCTACCATCACCACCACCACCACCACCTCTAGTAACCACTATTTTATCCTGTTTCTGTGTACTTGACTTTTTTTTTTTTAGATTACATATATAAGAGAGATCGAGCAGTATTTTTCTTTTTGTGTCTGGCTTATTTTACTTAATATAATGTCATCCAGGCTCATCCATGTGTGGTAAATGGCAAGATCTCCTTCTTTTATAAGGCTAAATAATATTCCTCTGTGTGTATGTATGCACACCACAGCTTCTTTATTCATTTGTCTGTCAACGGACACATAGATTGTTTTCATATCTTGGCTATTGTGAATAATGCGACAATGAACAGGTATCTGAGGCGGTGATTTCACTTCCTTTGGGTATATATTCAGAATGGGGGTTACTGGGTCATGTGGTAGTTCTACTTTTATTTAGGAATTTCCATACTATTTTTCACAATGGCTGCATCATCTACATTTGTACCAACAGTTGTTATCTCTTACCAAAGAGAAGTCATCCTAACAGGCATGAGGTGATATATCTCATTGTGGTTTTAATTTGCATTTCCCTTGTGACTACTGATGTTGAACATCTTTTCATGTACCTGTTGGCCATTTTTACGTCTTCTTTGGAAAAACACCCATTCAGATCCTTTGCCTTTTTTTTTTTTTTTTTTTTTCAGACAGAGTCTCACTCTGTCACCCAGGCTGGAGTGCAGTGACACAATCTCGGCTCACTGCAACAACCTCTGTCTCCCAGGTTCAAGTGATTCTCCTGCCTCAGGCTCCCAGGTAGCTGGGATTACAGGTGCATGCCACCATGCCCAGCTAATTTTTTTGTATTTTCAGTAGAGACAGGGTTTCACCATGTTGACCAGGCTGGTCTCAAACTTCTGACTTCAAGTGATCTGCCCACCTTGGCCTCCCAAAGTGCTGGGATTACAGGCATGAGCCACCACGCCCGGCCCATTTCCATTCTTTTGCATGTGGAAATCCAGTTTTCCCAGAACCATTTATTGAAGAGACTATCTTTTCCCCACTGTGTCCTCTTAGTGCCTTTGTCAAAAATTAGTTGGTCATATATGCTTGGGTTTGTTTCTAGGCTCTCAATTCTGATCTGCTGTTTTTATACTAGCACCATACTGTTTTAATTACTATAGCTTTTAATAGAATTTGAAATCAGAAAGTGTGATGCCTCAATGTTTTCTTTCTTAGGATTGCTTGTATATTCAGGGTATTTGTGGTTACATACAAATTTTAGAATTGTTTTTTCTACTTCTGTGAAGAATGTCATTAGAATTTGGATTGGGATTGTGTTAAATCTGCATATTGTTTTGGGTAGTATGAACATTTGAACAATATTAATTTTTCCAAATCATGAACACAGGATAGATCTTCCCATATGTTTGTGTCTTCTTAATTTCTTTCATCAGTGTTTTATAGTCTTAAGTGTCCAGATCTTTCTGGTTAAGTTTATTCATAAGTATTTTTTTTCTTGAGACAGGGTCTCTGTAAGCCATGCTGGAGTGCAGTGGCACAATCACAGCTCACTGCAGCCTCGACCTCCATGGCTCAAGCAATCCTCCCACCTCAGCCTCCCGAGTAGCTGACACAACAGGCATGGGCTACCACGCTAGGCTAATTTATTAAGTATTCTTTATGCTACTGTAAATTGGGATTATTTTCTTGATTTTTTGGATAGGTTGTTACTGTGTACAGAAATGCAACTGATTTTTGTGCACTGATTTTTTATCCTGCAACTTTATTGATATCATTTATTAATTCTAAGTTTTTTTTGTAGAGTTTTTGGGGTTATTTACATATAAGATCATGTCATCTGCAAATGGACATAACTTCTACCATTCAGCTAATTGTATGCCTTTTTTTTTTCTTGTCTGCTTGCTCTTGCTAGCACTTCCATTACTATGTTGAATAGAAGTGATGAGAGTGGTCATCCTTGCCTTGTGCCAGATCATAGAGAAAAAGTTTTCATTTTTCCACACTGATTATGACACTGGCTTTGGGTTTTTCATAAGCAGTCTTTATTACGTTGAGTAAATTTCTTTCTACATCTAAAGTTGTTGCCAGTTTAAAATAAGCTATTCTAACTACAATTTATTCTACATAAGCCTCATGGTAACCACAAAGCAAAAAACCACCCCAGATAAACAAATAATAAAGAGAAAGGAATCAAAGCTCAGCATTATAGAAAATCACCAAATCACAAAGGAAAACAAGAGTAAGAAAGGAACAAGGGCTCTACAAAACAACCAGAAAACAATTAACAAAATAGCAGAAGTAAGTCCTTCCCTATCAATAATAAGCTTGAATGTAAATGGATTAAGTTCTCCAATTAGAAGACACCGAGTGGGTGAATGGATTAAAAAAAACTAAGATCCAACCTATATGCTGCCCACAAGAGACTCATTTTAGCTTTAAGAACACATACAGGCTGAAAGTGGAAGAATTGAAAAAGATATTCCATGTAAACAGTAACCAAGAAAGAGCAGAGGTGGCTGTACTTAGACAAAATAAAGTCTAAAAACTGTCACACGAAACAAAGAAGGCCATTATTTGATGATAAATGGGTCAAGCCATCAAGAGGACATAACAATTATAAATACATATGCACTCAACATCAGAGCACCTAAAGGTATAAACCAAATTTTAATAGACATGAAGGGGGAAAATAGATAGCAATATAAGAATAGTAGGGGACCTCAATATCCCATTTTCAACAATGGATACATCAACTAGACAGAAAAGTAATAAGGAAATACTAGGCTTGAACTACACTTAGGACCAAATGGGCCCAATTTTCCATACAACAGTAGCAGAATACACATTCTTCTCCATTGCATATGTAACATTCTCCAGAATAGATCAGATGTTAGGCCACAAAACAAGTCTTAACAAATTTATAACTGAAATCATAACAAGTATTATTTCCAACCACAATGGTAAAAAAACTAGAAATCAGTAACAGAGGGAATTCAGGGAAAAATCACAAAGATGTGGAAATTAAACAACCTGCTCCTGAACAACCAATAGATTGGTTGAGAAGAAATCAAAAGAGAAACGTATCTTGAGACAAAAGAGAATGGAAATATAACATACTAAAACCTAGGGGATGCAACGAAAGCAAAAGCAGTTCTAAGAAGAATGTTGATAGCAATAAATTCTTACATTAAAAAAGAAGAGGCCAGGCATGGTGGCTCAGGCCTGTAATCCCAGTACTTTGGGAAGCTGAGACAGGAGGATCACTTGAGTTCCAGGCTGCAGTGAGCCATAATCATGCCACTGCACTCCAGCCTGGGTGACAGAGTCAGACCCAGTCTCTAAAATAATAATCATAATAATAGTATCTCAAATAAATAGCCTAACATTATTCCTCTTTTTTTTTTTTAATGTTGCCTAGGCTGTACTCAAACTCCTGGGCTCAAGCATTCCTCCTGCCTCAGTCTCCTGAGTTGCTAGGATTTAGGTGCATGCCACCACAGCTGGCTCATTACTTTTTAAACTGGCATACTTGACTGTGTGGATGTACACCATACTCATGTCCCTACCAATAGACATCAGGGTTATTTCCAGTCTATTAATATTGCAAACTGTGCTACAATGCCTTGTGCATATTTCATATTTTTGCTAGTGTATCTTTGGGATAGATTCCTGAGAGTGGAATTTCTGAACCAAATTCTCCACAAGGATCATCTATTTTACATTCACTGCATCAATATATGAGTGCCCGTTTCCCCACACCTGGCACATCAGAGTACATTGTCAAACTGTTAGAAAATTGGCAGAACTTGATATGTGAAGAATAGTATATTAATTTTAATTTGCACTTCTCTTATCTTTTAATGCATTAGACCACTTTCTTTTTTTTCTTCTTCTTCTTCTTTTTGAGACAGGATCTTGCTCTATCACCCAGGCTGGAGTGTAGTGTTGTGATCACAGCTCACTGCAGCCTTGACCTCTAGGGCTCAAGTGTAGTTTTGCAATCACAGCTCACTGCAGCCTTAACCTCTCGAGTAGCTCCTAGCTACTCAGGAGGCTGAGGCTAGGACCACAGGTATGCATCACCACATCTGGCTAATTTTTAAATTTTTCTGTAGAGATGGGGTTTCCCTATGACGCCCAGGCTGGTCTCAAACTCCTAGGCTCAAGCAATCCTCCCACACGGGCCATCCATAGTGTTAGGATTACAGGCATGAGCCATGATATTTTTTTTAAGATGGAGTCTCACTGTGTTGCCCAGGCTGGAGTCTGGTGGCATAATCAGAGCTCACTGCAGCCTCAAACTCTTGGGCTCAAGTGATCCTCCTGCCTCAGCCTCCCAAGTAGCTGAGAATACAGGCACCCTCACCACCCCCAGCTTGCATTTTGTTATTTAAGCCTTTTTTTACTTCATTTCTATAGGACAAGTCCCCAGAACTGAAAAACCTTGTCAAGGTCTACACATTAACACTTTTATACACATTGCCCAATTTCTCTCCAAAATTCACTTCTACTAGGAGTGGATATCCGAGTGTAACCATTTCCCCACATTCTCACTAACACTAGATATAATCATTCCTTATAACTGCTGCCATTCTATAGATAGAACACGATGAAACACTACTGTTTTAATTTGTCATCCTTTAAGAGCTCATATGGCTGAAACAAGCTCTTTTATGCATAAAAATCAGTTGCCTTTTTTGTTGTTTAATAAGGGAATTCTGACCACACATACTACTTAACCTACCTCTTCCACTCAACAATGATATTTATCCATTTAAAGCAGCCCACTGAATCTCCTTCAGATATCACTCAGCCAAATATTTTGCCAAAATCAAAATATACTGTATATACAGCAACCACATGAAAAAGGGAAATTTGAGTTAATGACTTTGCCTAAATTCAACAGAACTTTACTGGACCCCTGCTATATGTCAGGCAGTATATTCCATGTAGGGAATATACAGTTAAATTAGACATGATTTGTGCCCTCAAGGAACTCAGCCTAGTGAGGAAGATAAACTCATAAACAGACAGTTGTAATATAAGTGTGGTATCCTTTAGGATAGAATTATGCACTAGATGTCACAGATACACATATAGTTAACTAATTTAGGGAATAAAAGTATCAAAGGTTTCCTGAAAGAGATGACAATTGCACTGAATTCAAAAATGACCAGGACTTGGCCAAGTCAAGTGGAAAAGGGCACTGCAGGCAAAGGAGGCTGAATGAACAAAACCAAGAACACAAAAAAATACCACCGTGGCAGCTCAGTGTGGCTGGAGGCCACTGCACCAATGCAGAGAGATGAGCTGAGAGCCACAGGTCCCAGTGATTTAACTTGATACTTAACCAAATTCCTAGTAAGTGCCTGGCCACATCCTAGGTACTGGAGAGAATATCCAAAGCAGACACAGTTCTGGCTCTCATGATGCTTTCAATCTAGCAGGAAAAAGTGTGTGAAGGTCCTTTGTCCCAAAGGTGATGAATAATTTTAAGCTAGTAAATGACATGGTCAAACCTGTATTTTTTTGGTACAATTCTATGGCAGCCATAGGTAGGATGGATTTTACGAGATCAGATAGGAGGCCTCTGCAGAAGTCCATGAGAGAGAGAAAGGACCTAACTAGTAATGAAAGACTAGAAAGGCTATAATTAGAAAATAATTAGATAGTCAAATGTGTTTTTAGTTCGCCCATGCTGGCTCCTAGCAACACTTATTTTCTTTACATTCAAATGACATATTCTACTGAAAATCTGGATCAAGTTTAATGGTCTCCAAATTCTGGATTATACTCTTTCCCTTCAGGATAACTAGGTATGTCCATTTCTAGTCCCCGACATCCCTCAAAGATGGTGCACAAGTATATTTGCAAGTTATTTCAGGACCCCAGACGTAGAAGTCATCTGTCAATCTTCTGGCTTTCAAAAATACTCAACCTTTTCCTCCTTGGGGAGAACTGTCACTGACAATAGTACTCAGTGGAAGTCAAAATGGAAGATCCTTCTCTTCGCAGTACCAGGAAGTCAGGGAACAAGCACATAATCTAAAATATTCCCACCTGGAAAAGGTGAAACAGGAGTGGGACAAATGAGAGACAGAATTCATCTAGTGGCAGCCAAACAGCCAAGTTGTTCTTGCTGCTTAGCCTCTGGAGTCCTCCAGCCTTCTAACAATTTAGTGAGCCTCCTTTTTCCTTCTAATAAATCCTCTTTCTGCTTAAGACAGCCAGAATTAACTTATATGGCTTGTAAAAAGAACTCTGACAAAAATTCCTGGATAGAATTTCACTGGGTCCAGAAATCTGAACTTAATTAAAGTACCTAGCTATTCTACCTTTATTCTGATCATCTTTGTTATTATAACCAAGACTCAGTGGTCACTTACTATATGTCAATTATTTTCTAAGTTTTTTGTAGGCATCACCATATTGAATAGTCACTGAATTGCACTGAATTATAGAACCACTGAAGTTGATGCTATCATTACTCCCTTTCTATAGTTTAAGAAATTGAAGCTCGGAGAAATCATGATGCCCAAGATGACCAGCAAATACGAATAGAAGTGATATGCACTCAGGCAATCCAAGATCAAAGTCAGCATTCTTACTAACTACATTATACACTGACTCTTTTAAAAACCTTTTCTAGGCTGGGCGCAGTGGCTTATACCTGTAACTCCAGCACTTTGGGAGCCCGAGGCAGGCAGATGGCTTGAGGTCAGGAGTTCCAGAGCAGCCTGGCCAACATGGTAAAACCCCGCCTCTACTAAAAATACAAAATTAGCCAGGCATGGTGGTGTGTGTCTAATCCCAGCTACTTGGGAGGCTGGGGCAGGAGAATCGCTTGAACCTGGGAGGCAGAGGTTGCAGTGAGCCGAGATCACACCACTGCACTCCAGCCTGGGTGACAGAGCAAGACTCTGTCTAAAAAAAAAAAAAAAAAAAAAAAAAAACTTTTTAAATCTTTTCTATTGTGAAATATAACGCAAATGTAGAAGAGTACACAAAAGTGTATACCTCAATAAATTATCACAAACACCACCCAGGCCAAGAAATAGAACACTTCTAACACTCCAGAAGCACCACTCATGACCTTCCCAATCATTACCTGATCCTTTCCTCCTTAAGGTAAGAAAACCACTATCCCAACTATGGACATTATTTCCTTGCTTTCTTTATAGCTGGGCCACCTAAGTAAGCATTCCTAAACACTGTTGCTTCACTGGGCCTGTTTTCTGAATTCCATATAAAGGAAAATGAAAAAGAATGTTTTCTTTTGGGTCTTGCTTATTTCAGTCATTATTTTGATTGATGCATCCATCAAAATCTGCATCAAAAAATGCACCCATGTAATTGTAGGTAGGTTTGTTAACTTTCTTTCTTTTTTTTTTTTTCTGAGACAGAATCTCACTCTTGTTGCCCAGGCTGGAGTGCAATGGTGCAATCTCGGCTCACTGCAACCTCCACCTCCTCGCTTCAAGCGATTCTCCTGCCTCAGCCTCCTGAGCAGCTGGGACTACAGGCGCCCACCACCACGCCCAACTAATTTTTGTATTTTTAGTAGAGACGGGGTTTCACCATGTTGGCCAGGTTGGTCTCAAAATCCTGAGCTCAGGTGATCCGCCTTCCTCAGCCTCCCAGAGTACTGGGATTACAGGCATGGGCCACCGCACCCAGCCAGTTTGTTCACTGTCATTGCTGTACGTTATTCCATGAATCCACCATGAGCTATCTATCTATTGTTGATGATACTTAGGTTAACTCCAGTTTGGGGCTATTATGAATAATGCTGCTATGAATATTCTTGTGTCTTGGCTACAGTGCATACATTTATGTTGGATATAAATGTCAGAATGGAAACGGTTAAGTCATAGAAATTTGAATGTTAAATTTCAGTAGATAATGCCGAACTATTTTCTAAAGGGGTTGTACCAAATATAATGCTACCAGCATTGTAGCATCATTTCATTACTCTGGACCTTCTCTGACACTTGGTCATGTTAAAATTTTTTTGGGGGGCCATTCTGGTAGATGTATGCTAATTTAGTTTGTATTTCACCAATGACTCGTATTTCTTGGCCATTTAAAAATCTTCTTTTGTGAAGTGCCTCTCCAAGTCTCTTGCCAATTTTATTACTGGATTGTCCTTTTTATTATTTATTTATTTATTTATTTATTTTTGAGACGGAGTCTCACTCTGTCACCCAAGTTGGAGTGCAGTGGCATGGTCTCGGCTCACTGCAACCTCCGCCTCCTGGGTTCAAGAGATTCTTCGGCCTCAGCCTCCCTAGTAGCTGGGACTACAGGCACGTGCCACCACACCCAGCTAATTTTTGTATTTTAGTAGAGACAGGGTTTCACCATATTGGCCAGGCTGTTCTCGAACTCCTGACCTCATGATCCGCCCACCTTGGCCTCCCAAAGTGCTGGGATTACAGGCATGAGCCACCAAGCCCAGTCCCTTTTTATTATTTATAGGAGTTTTAGATACAAACCTTTTGTCAGGTATATGTATTATAATTACCTGCTTCCACTCTGTGACATGACTTTTCCCATTTAATGGTGGCCTTTGATGAACCAAAGTACTTTTGTGTACTCAAAATTTATCAAATTTGCCTTCCTTAGTCTTTGTATGTCCTGTCTAAGATGTCTTTCACTATATTGAGATCCGAAAATATTCTCCCATATCCTATAGGTAGGTGCTTATGTACTACCTTTCACATACTGTTCTATAATCTACCGAGTTGATTTTTTGTGTATGATGTGTGAGGTAAAGATTACGTTTCTTTACTTTCCTTTCTCTTAGAATATTCAATTGTCCCAGAAACATTTACCTTACCTTACCCACTGCTCTATGTTAACAATCTTTGTTGCAAAGCAAGTGTCCGTATAAACATGTTTCTAAGCTTTTGATTCTATTCCTAGAGCCTGACTACTCTTTAAAAACTTTAAAATAAGTCTTGATGTTGGATGGAACAAATCTTTCCCTGTTGTCTTATTCAAGAGTGTCTTTGCTATTTGTGGCCTTCTATTTCTATATGTATTTTAGAACCAGCTTGTCAAAGCCACCCAAAAATCCCAATTCATGAACTTAGCTGTTTCTGAAGCTGAGTTGCACTCCCTGCAATGACCTACTTTTAGGGCATGGCCTTTCATGGCCCTAACCCAAAGGAAATGGAGTTCACCAGGCTCCCCCTTGACGGGTCCTGAACACTAATCCATTTCCTGTTACTTTAGTTCAAAGAGGCACTTTTCATGACCTTGTCACTCAGCTTCCCCACTCAGGAATCCAGCATGTACCCTCAGGAGACAAAAGAGCCCCAAAATAGACTCTTGTCCTTGGATCTCTATAGCTCTCACATGGATCACAGCTAGGTAATTCTTCATGATCTTTCTATCTCTCCAGTATCTTCCAGCAGATGTTTATATTTCACCCATATTTTCTAATTGTCCCTGATGAGAGATAATTACCTAGTCTGCTATTACTGAAAACAGAAATCCATATTGCCTATTTACCCATATCAATCTGAATATACCTTAGTGAATAAAATAGAAACAAAAATAGTTCTGCCCTCTGCCAGGCACGGTGGCTCATGCCTGTAAGGGAGGCGGAGGCGGGAGGGCCGAGGCGGGCAGATCACAAGGTCAGGAGTTCGAGACCAACCTGGCCAGCATGGTGAAACCCCATCTCTACTAAAAATACAAAAATTAGCCGGGCGTGGTGGCACATGCCTGTAATCCCAGCTACTCGGGAGGCTGAGGCAGGAGAATCGCTTGAACCCAGAAGGCGGAGGTTGCAGTGAGCCGAGATCACACCACTGCACTCCAGTCAAGGCGACAGAGCGAGACTCCGTTTCAAAAAAAAAAAAAAAAAAAAAATTCTGCCCTCTCTCTGTCATTGATTAATAATATCAGTTTATCTACTATGTCTATCCCCCTTTGGCTTATCCTGTCCTTTGGATCGTAATGAAGACTTCAAAAAGGTTAAATTTTTAGACAGAAATGAAACTAGCACAAAAATAATGAAAGACAGTAGTGGATTTAAAGAATAACAAAATTAATCTCTAAGGAGACTTATAACCTTTTATAAAAAAATTCACTGAGAGAAAAAGGTCTAGAAAATGTCAGTTCCTGATGAGCAGAAACAGAATACAGACCTATAGAAAGGCTCTTATTTAGGATATAGACATAGTGAAGTCTCATGCCAAGTTTGTGTGTGTGTCTATCTATGTACACATATATTTATATATTTTAAAGACTATTTTTATTAACTATTTCTGAATAATTTATCCACATTATTCAAAATTCAAAAAGCATATAAGTATACAGTGAAAAATTTCCTCCCATGTCAGTCCCTACCTCCAAAAGCAATCAATGTTATTTGGTTTTGTGTAGTCTTCCAAAGATGTTTTATGCATATAAAAAAAAGTGTGTGTGTGTGTGTGTGTGTGTATACTTTTTCACTTTTTTACACAAAAAATGGGCATGCTTAGGCGTGGTGGTGCGTGCCTGTAATCCCAGCTACTTGAGAGGCTGATGCAGGAGAATCGCTTGAACCCGGGAGGCGGAGGTTGCAGTGAGCTAAGATCACGCCATTGCACTCCAGCCTGGGCAACAGTGCGAGACTCTGTCTCAGAAAAAAAAAAAGGTCGGGGGGAGCATGCTGGACATACTACTGTGTACTTTGTTCTTTCCACTTATATCTCAAAGACCTTTCCATAACTGCACATGAAAAGCTTCTTCATTCTTTTCTACAGCTGATTAGTATTTCATTGGGTGAATATTCCATAATGTATTACCATTACAAACAATGCCATAATAACCTTGTATCTATGTCATTAAACAGGAGAATAAATAAATCTATAATTCCTGGAAAGAATGAGTCAAAGGGGCATATATTGTAATTCTGATGGATATTGACAAGTTGCCCTCCACAGAATCTGTACCAATTTACAATCTCATTAGCAAAGCATGAGAGTGTCTGCTTCTGCACACCGACCAACAAAGTGAGTTAGCAAACTACCAAGTGTAGTTAGGATTTCCAATTCCCTTATTATGATTTAGGTTGAGCATTTTTCACATGGTAAGCACCACTTCTCATAGCATTTTAACAACTTAATGTATACTGGAAAAAAATATGCTTTTGATTTTTTTTCTTTCCATCCCATAAGGAGTTGAGCTTTTGATTTTTAACTTTAAAGGAATGCCCTAAATTATTTTTAATTTTAAAGAATGCCCTAAATTACATAAGAACTACTGGTAAAACAACTTATAATTGGATTCAGAGAGGCAGGAAGTAAGAAAAGGAGAAAGAAAAACATAACTTTATTTCCAGAAGTATAAAGTGTGGGAGATGCAGCGCTGTTTCAGTGAGAGAGAATTATGAGCACAGCCTTTTAGGTTTCCTGAAGTTCTTCAGTGAAATTTAAGCCACTATGCAGAAGAAAAAGCCAATTTTCCTATAGTATAGCTTTTATTATATTAGCCAAATATAAGCCAATTCTGAAAGTATTCCTAGAAGAGATCAGAGAAATCAGGCCAGACTTTGCAAATTTAGATGGTATGTGGGGAAATGTTTTTTATTTTTAAAAATATGTATTCTAGTATATATTAAGAAAAATGGATATATCAAACTAGTAATATCGTAGGTATTATTTAGAATGAAACTTTTAAGTGTCAATCAAAATGTCAATTAAATGTCAATGTCAAGAAAAAATAGTAAATAACTAATACTGTAACGGTATTCTCCAGTGTGGCAAAGTCATTACCATGGTTCCTCAGTGGCCGAAATCTCGGAAACAATGAACGGAGGAGGAAAAATGGAAGCTTAACAATAACTTAATTTATCATTGATGGCCACTAAAGCAAAGGTGAGAGAGAAAAAAGGAACTTCCTTAAAATAACTTATTTTATATTTGACAACTTTTTAAATGTGCATTTTCTTTCTACATTACCAAAGGGTCTGGTTTCAGACATTCTGATCATGCTAGGGATTCAAACTTACTGTGTACTTCGTACTTTCCCTACAAGGAGAACCAAAAAGCAGGTTTTTTTCAAAAGCATTTGAATATCAGGTCAGGGTTCTTTAGAACAGGCCTCAGAGGATTTCCCCCTCAGTAAACAGGCTGCAAAGAGATAATTAGCCTGTCATTTTAGATTCCAGTGCAGAAGAACTAAAAGCAGGCTATGTGGTTACAGACTCAAGAGGCTTAAACGAAAACAAATTAAGTGAGTTTATGTTCCAACCAAATCTAGTGACCATGTGATCCAATTTCTCTTCAGCCCTTGAGTGGGACATGCTCCTGAGAGGTCACTCAGATTGTGCACCTTTGGTTATACTGTTTAGACTGAATCACGACATGAATAATCAACTATCTGACTAATCGACTATCTGGACACTAAAAACACAACCACTGTAAGAAAAAGAAAGCCACAGGCAGACAAAATGTTAACATTTTGACATAAAACCACAATAGAAAACTAAAAAACATCAAGGCTGTTTGTCATTGACTCCCTATTATTCTTACCATTCAACATGGTAGCCACCAAATTTTGAATTTTAATTCATGCACATTGAAATAGCCACAGATATTATATATATATATATATATATATATATATATATATATATATATATATTTTTTTTTTTTTTTTTTTTTTTTTTTTTTTGAGACAGCGTCTCCCTCTG
This sequence comes from Homo sapiens, assembly GCF_000001405.40. NCBI lineage: Eukaryota > Metazoa > Chordata > Mammalia > Primates > Hominidae > Homo > Homo sapiens. The sequence goes on from NC_000014.9 coordinate 77,373,003, forward strand.
TCGCCCAGGCTGGAGTGCAGTGGTGCAATCTCGGCTCACTGCAACCTCTGCCTCCTGGGTTCAAGTGATTCTCCTGCCTCAGCCTCCTGAGTAGCTGGGACAGATATGAAATATTTTCATCACTGCAAAAAGACTTATTGTAATATTCTAACTTCTACCTTAGAACCATGAACAAGTTTACCTGACCTGTTTCCATCCTCAACATCTAAATGTATTGATAGCTCTGGGGGACATACACACCAAACTAAGTTCTACTGCTGACTTCAGGATCACAATAGAGTTTTATTTTCCTTTAAACTTAAAAAAAAAACAAAAACAAAAACAAAAAAACCTGCCTTTAAGTGATGCAACAAGTATGCCTCAGATAGTTTCATAATTAAAGAATGATTTATCTCTCCTCTGGGGAACTGAAGAACCCAGGTGCCTCAAATAAAAGACTATTAAAAACAATTACAATGCATAAAACAATAAGAACACCATGACCACTGGAGAGCTTAGTTCATAAGAACATAAATCCTTTCCTTCCTTTTCACCAAAACCTCAGCTAACAAACATGAAGACACTCAATAGGTATTCTCTGCAGAGAACACTTTTAAAAAACAAGTTATGGTTATTCTGGATAATGACACATTCCTGCTTTGAAGGAATAAGATACACCAAAAAACCAAAACCCTTAACTCAACAATACCTGATATGGCTTGGATGTTTGTTCCCTCCAAATCTCACGCTGAAATGTGATTTCCAATGTTAGAGGTGAGGTCTGGTGGGAGGTGACTGGATCGTGGAGATGAATCCCTCATGAATGATTTGGCATCATCCTCTTGATGATAAGTGAGTTCTCACTCAGTTAGTTCACCTGAGATATGGTTGTTTAAAAGAGTCTGGGACCTCCTCCCGTCTCTCTCTCTCTCACTCCCAACTCTCGCCATGTGACATACCTGCTCCCCCTTTCAGTATGATTCTAAGCTTCTTGAGGCCCTCACCAGAAACAGATACCAACACCACACTTCCTGTACACCCTGCAATACCATGAGCCAATTAAAACTCTTTTCTTATAAATTACTCAGTCTCAGGTATTCCAAATGGACTAACAGAACACCTGAATATCCAATTCCATTTCTTACTGCTGTTTTCTCTCTGAAAGGGTGAGAGAAATCTCATTAAATTTCATTCTTTCTTAGAGCTCTATTGCTTACTCATTGTATCATTTTCTAGAGGAAGATGGCAGAAGGATCCAATCAAACGAATTCCAAGTTTAAAGCAGTTTTTTGGGGTTTACGCCCAAGCCTCTGGTCCAGGCCAAATATAGTATTTCCACACTGCTTTGGAAGCCCAGCTTAACTCTAACACAGCGTTCCCAAAAGCAGCACCACTGACATCTGGAGCCAGATACCTCCTTGTTATGGGGATTGCCCTGTGCCTTGCAGGATGTTTAGCAAACATCCCTAGCCTATCCTCACTAGATGTCAGCAATAGCTGCCACCAGTTGTGACGAGCAAAAATGTTTCCAAACATTGCCATGCCCTGGGGATACAAAATCGTACCTGGTTGAAAACCATTGCTCTAACCCAAGGAACATTCTTGGTTATCTCAACCCTAATTCTTCACATTCATTAGATGCTCATCCAGATCTCTGCATTCAGACTTTCTCTCACCATCAAACTCAGCAAATATTTGCGAAACCTCTAAAACACAACATCAAGGGCTCTAGATAAATAAACAAGCAAGAGAGATTCCGTTCCTAACTCCAAGCAGGTTTCTTAGTAGATAAAGAATTGTAATAAAAGACGCCCAATTATATAATGTTTTGAATTGTTAATTGTTTCTCCCTGAAATGGATCTCTCATCTCATCAAACTGAAAACACCTTGAGGACAGAGACCATAACCTGTCTGCGAGTACCAATACTTGATTCATGGCCAATAAAAACAAACAATTATAGACTTCATCATAACAAGATGACAATTTCATCCAGACAGTAAAAACTTGCGCTAACTTGAACAGGTAAGTTAACCTTTCTCAGCTGTAGTTTGTTCCTCTGTAAAATGGGAAGAAAATGATTGTTGACATGACTAAATCAGAAAATATAAATTTTTTTCCACCTCTGGCACAGAATAAGCATTCAATATCTGTAGGTTATCATTACTATTATTTTATTAGCAACAAATCCTACCTCAAGAGGAAGAGCTTGCTCTGGGCTACTATAATAAACCCCTACATGACATTAAAAAAAAAAATTATCACCCTGCATTCTGAGGGTAAGAGGAAGGAAAGTAAGCATCTCTACCAATGTCCTGGGAGGAAGTGAATGCAGGAATGAATTAGATGTCAGGGGGAAAAAAAAACACACTCATCTATCTAAAACGCGTGGGTACGTTTGCCATAAACACATGAGAACCTAAAGGGGAAGTAAAAACATGCTTAATTTGTAAATACTGGCGCATGCAAGGGACAAGTGTTATAAGACTTACCTTTCTGTGTTTACTTGCTTAGTCTTTTAGACATTATGCTTAGAATTTCTACTGCTATGTTAAATATATGCCAACGATTTTTAATTTAATACAAAGCAGAGTTCGTAAGAAAAAAAGGCAAAATTTGTCAGGTGTTTTAAAGTAAAAGAATATAAAATCATGGGAAAGAGCTGGGTGAGTTGTGTGTGTGTTTGAATAAGGCAGCATTATGAGAGGGAAGATACTTGGGATCAGAGTAGAAGACAGAAAAAGGCACCATGTTGGAAGCCATACATCCAAGAACACCTCTGGCGGCACAGGAAGTTCAACTGAACAAAAAGAGACCTTACTGTCACAATGGTTGAGACGAGTATAGTGTGTACCATGGACTATACCCCAAATGCCTTAGACAAAGCAGCTCAAGTAATCCTCACAATAATCCTATGAGGCAGATATTTTTAGTAATCACATTTTACAGATGAGGAAACTGACGTTTCAGACTCCAATCCAGGCACCCTGGCTCCACAGTAGTGCCTCAACCATTATACTTTATGGTGTCTATTTTAATTTCAGACCTAGAAAATTAATTTATATTTGCTACTTAAATAAGACAAGTTCTCTCCCCTCTACCCTTTCGTATTTCAAAAGAGCATCCTTTCAGTTGCATCGTGTGTGGTGTTCAGGAGGCTGAAAGAAGAAAGTGTGATGGATGGACTCTTTTGTCTTTGGACACTGAAATAATACACACGGAGGAACTCGCGTTAGTAGAAATGGAGACGTCGTCCTGGACAAGAAGAGGATGAGGGTCTTGAGAATGAGGGAGGTAGGCCAAATTTTTAATTCCTGCTCTTGCTTTGGCTACTGTGTTCAAGCAAAAGACCCCAGACACTACCTATTTCAACTCTGCTTTTCATTTTTCCCACTCTAAGCGATGGAGAGGATGGCAGCAAGGCCAGGGGGCCTATGTGCAGGAAGGCTAGGGCGCAGTGGGCTTCTGGCAGAGGAAGGCAAGGCTGCCAACCCGGGTGGGGGCCGAGAGGCGCGTGGTAAGGCTGGGGCAGGGGACTGAGATGGGGATAGGGTGGGGAGCCAGAAGCAGGGGGCGGCGAGGCCAGTAGGGTTCGGGTCGGCAGTCTAGATGTGATTAGCAGACGGAGGTGGGACCCGAACCCCGGCTGAAGCTGAAACTGAAGCTGAAGAGGCGCCAGGGGCAGAGCCACCCTGTCACTACCATTTGGGCAGATCTCAGAAAGGAAGCGGGGCAGGAATCAAGGCATTTCGAAACAGGAGTGAGTAGAAAATAACCTCGAGCCCAGGGCCCGGGTGGTGGCAGCGGCGGGGAAGGGGCCCCGCGCGCGAAGGGGCTGCCGAGGTGGGTCCGCTCCGCGGGGAAGCCCAGGACAGAGCGCGGCGGAGGCTCGCGCCGTGGTGCGGGGCCCTGAGGCCGGGCGGCACCCACCCGCCAGCGCCCCGGCCTTGCGTACCTGAGGCGGCCGCCTGGCTCCCCTCCACTCCCTGGCAGTCCCCGACGCCGCCAGCCGACCCTGGGCGGGCTGTGGGGCTCCAGGAGCCCGGCCCCTCAGCCGCCTGCAGGTCAGACATCTGCAGCCCGCGCACGGAGCTCTCCGCTGCCAGCCGCGAGTGGCTCCGGAAACAGCCGAAGGCCGAGCGAGCGCCGAGCACAGCCGAGCGCAGCCTGCAGGCCGGAAGAAGCGGCGCGGCGGCCGCTTGAAAAGCTAGCTGACCCAGGGGCGGCCACAGGAGCTCTGGCCCGCTGAGGCTGGCGATGAGGCCGCAGGGAGGGTTACTGCGTGCTTGTGACAGACGATTTTTAAAGTCAGGGCTTGAAAGAACAAACAAAACCTGGGGAAGAGTCAGGAAGACACTGCCGGAAATCGTGGTATCCATAGAGACGCTATCGGAAGTTGGGGTTGCTAGGAAGCCGCGGCGCGTCTGCTAAGCTGCAAATGGCTGAAGTCCCGGAGGATTATGATTCCGGCCCAGATGAAGATGGAGAGCTGGAGCCTGAGAGGCCTGAACTGCCTGGACTTCATAAATTGTATGAAAATGCCGAACCAGACACCATGGCAAAGGCAGACTCGAAGCTACCAGCAGAGATTTACCAAGAGCCACAGCCAGAGACCGAGGAAGAGGACTTCAAAGAGGGGGAGCCAGACAGTGCTAAGAACGTGCAGCTGAAACCTGGCGGGACGTCCCAGGAAGGAATTGCCAAGGAGTCCAAGAGAGACGTACCAAGCGAAACTGAACCAGGGATACACCAAGAGGTAAAGTCGGAAACATCCAGAGAGATGGGAGAGTTTTTCAAAGATTTGGAGGCCCCTATGGATGAAACGCATAAAGAGTCAGACCTAGAGCCACCAGAGGAGGCTAAACCAAATGTTACAGAGGATGTGTTCCTAGAGTCAGCTATGGAAACAGATCCAGATCCAGTGCCACCAACGGAAACCATGTCTGAGGTTTCGGGGGCCACAGTCAGAGAGAGAAATTTAGAATTACTAGAGGAGGAGACTGAACCGGGGGTTCCAGAGGAATCACTTAGAGTGCAACATGAAGAGACAGGTCTAGAGCCTCCAGAGCAGACCAAACAAGATTTTCCAAGTGAGAAACTAGGAGAATCACTTGAAGAGACAGATCTTCAGCCACCAAAGATGACCAAACCAGAGACTCCAGAGGAGACACAAAGAGAGTCAACTGAGAAGAAAAGGACAGAGCCACCCGAGCAGGCTAGACTGGAATTTCTGGAGAAGGAACCAAGAAAGTCTAGTGAGGAGGCAGGTCTAGAGCCTCCAGAAGAGACTCAACCAGAGGTTCCAGAGGAGATGCAAAGAAAGGCAACTGAGGAGAAAGGGACAGAACTACCTGAGCGGACTAAACCAGACTTTCCAGACCACAAGCCAAGAAAGTCTACTGATGAGAACGTTCCTGAGCCACTAGAAGAGATCAAATTAGAGTTTCCTGAGGAAGAATCAAGAAAAACAAATGAGGAAACAATTCTAGAACAATCAGAAATGATGAAACCAGAAAGTCCAGAAGAGATAAGAAAGTCAAATGAGAAAAAAAATCCACAGCCACCAGAGGAGACTGGTCCAGTGCTACCACAGGAGATCAACCCACAAGTTGAAGAGAAAACACAAACAAAGCCAACTGAGAAAATTCTAGAGTTACCAGATGAAACCAAACCAAGGGAGACACATGTAGAATTTTCCAAGGAAGACAGGCCAGAACCAATAAAGTCTAAGTATTCTGTAGGAAACGATGAGCTAGAGCACCGTGAGCCTAAAAGAGGAAAGTTGTCACTAAGTGACAAATTTAGAAAAGAATATTACGCATTAGGATCTCTCAGAGAAAGTGAAGAATCAATTGGTACACATTATGAGTTTTTGCAACCACTCCAAAAATTGCTTAATGTCAGTGAAGAATGCTCATACTCAGATCCCTCAGAGTCTCAGACAGAATTAAGTGAGTTCGTTCATGAAAAGGAAGTTGTAGATTTGTCCCAAGAGTTGAAGGAACGGGTCTCTGAAGATGACGAAACCCAGCCAGAAAAAGGGACTGAGTTACAATTTGAGCATCTTAATTGGGATCCAGAGGAAGTTGCAGAGTGGATTAGCCAGCTAGGCTTCCCTCAATACAAGGTATACAAAAATAAGATGTTTTGAAATCACATGCTGTCATCCGTCTACTTCTTATTCCTTCTAACTTGGCCTGAGCTCTTACCTCTTTACCGGAAGGAGTATCAAAAAGTCCTAGACTGTGGTAGAGGTAACTTGGATTTTAATTTTGGCCTTGCCACTGATGTATATTTGTATTTTGGGAGAGGAAGGGAGGGTCACATCGGTTTGTTTTTCCTCTTCCAGTGATTACACTTCTCTGCAATCCTTGAATAAAAGACCAAGAAGAGTATATAGACCTCCTTTCTTTTTTTTTTTTTGAGACACAATCTCGCTCTTGCCAAGGTTGGAGTGCAGTGGCACGATCTCGGCTCACTGCAAGCTCCACCTTCCCCAGGTTCACGCCATTCTCCTGCCTCAACCTCCTGAGTAGCTGGGACTGGGACTACAGGCGCCCGCCACCATGCGCGGCTAATTTTTTGTATTTTTAGTAGAGACGGGGTTTCACTGTGTTAGCCAGGATGGTCTCCATCTCCTGACCTCGTGATCCGCCAGCCTCAGCCTCCCAAAGTGCTGGGATTACAGGCGTGAGCCACCGTGCCCGGCCTTAGACCTCCTTTCATAGAAAACTGTATTTTTAAGTAGACTTTGTTCAAGGTAGGCTTTTTGGTACTTTGTCAAGTTATTTTAGTGGCAGCTCCCTTGCTTTGAACTTGTGCTATTACTTTTTAAAGTGTCTGCCCCAAATATGTCACCTGTATCATGAGCACTTAAGTGTATTAATTCAAGTTAGCCAGTTAACCAAAACTAGTTTTAGTAAAAAGTCAGTGTAAACCTCTTGTTTCACTGATGCCAACTAGGTTTAAGGCTACCACAAAACAATACAAGATCTGAAACCTTTTGTACCTACTATACTTACAAATGTAATTGAGACATGAAGAAGCACTGGTTGTACCATGCCCAAAAAAACAGTTAAAGAGCAGTGTAAAATTTAATAAAGAGCTTACATGGAAAAATTGTGCCGTTATTGGGATAGAAAGTAAATTTAAGCTACTCAGGAGGCTGGGGCAGGAGGACTGCTTGAGTCCAGGAGTTCGAGGCTGCAGTGATCTATGACTGCAGCACTGCACTCCCGCCTGGATGACAGAGTGAGACCCTGTCTCTAAAAAAGAAAAAACAAAATAATATTTTTTTCTCAGGGTAGAACAAACACGACTTCTTCCCTTCCTCCCCCTTCCCTCCCTTTCTTCCTTCTATTTGCAGTACATTTTTTAAGTGATGTCCTTGTTGTATTGACAGGAGTGTTTTATCACAAACTTCATCAGTGGCCGAAAACTCATTCACGTCAACTGCTCAAACCTCCCTCAGATGGGGATAACAAACTTTGAGGACATGAAGGTGAGTTGTGTCCAAAGTTTCCCTACAGAGCACTGTTAACAGTGCCACCATCTGTCTCAAACCAACCTTTTTTTCCTCCAGCCTGGCCTCCCACTTCTGTCAATGGTGTCATCATAATTCCAGTTCCTCAGGCTCACGGTGGTTGCCTCCTCTTTCTCCTTTGATCCCCATAAATATTCCAAGAACTGTCCATTGCTCCTGTGGCACTTACACCGTCTGGCTTTCTTCATTCCCACTTTTCAGACCTTATGGCCTCATGCCTAGAACACCACAGTGGCCTCCCGCTTTTAGCCTGTCTCAATGGACCCTTTGGATTCAAGGGCCCTGCTTTTATGCTCTCACTTTCCACCTACTTATGTACTATTCAAAAACCTTCTTTGGATCCCTTCTGCTTACCAAGATAGTCTCCACTCCCTAGTTTAGAATTTAGGGCCCTCCACAAGTTCTCTCCCCTACCACTCCTCCACATGAATTTTGTGCTCCAGCCTACCACCAGGTCTAACACCTTCGCAAACCTGCCTGGTGCGTTCTTCTCTCTATGTCTTCGCTCAGTTCCCCCATCCTCTGTATTACTAATATGAATCTTAATCATCCTTCAAGACCAGTTCCTCATTTGCATCTCCCCAAGAAGTCTTTTGTAACATTCCCAGCCCACAGTAGCCCCCATCCCAAGTTCTCATGACATTTTGTGTCTCTGACACCCATTTGGCACTTATATAACACCATATGTATTTTGCCTGCTTTGCTGCCTAACTTTGAAACAAGCTACATTAACCACTCTGAGCATCAATTTTCTAAAATCTCCAGCACCAACAGTTCATGATTATTCTCCTTTGCATAACAGTACCCTCCATTTGTAGTGCTTTGCAATTTACAAAGCATCACAAACAATCTCACGTGTAACCTCTCCTTTAGTACCCCACCCCAATAACCCTCCAAGAATGGACAGTTCTTGGCATAACCATGGTTTTGCTCAGCACACCCATGCCCAGAAATGTACCACCTCAGTGGTTTCCAAACTTGGGTCGTCTTCAGAATCAAATGAGATTTTTTGAAAAAGATACATTCCTAGGCTTCATCCTCCAGAGATTTTGATTCATTAGGGCTGGGTAGGCCCTGGAATCTCTTCCCTAGATGACTCTTCAACAGGCCTTATAACCCTAAAATTCCATAAGTCATATGGTTTAGAAATAAGAAAACTATGCTTGTTAATACCTGAGTCCTTTTACTAGCAAGAAGATATAACGAAACTTTTTAAATTATTAAACATACAGTCCTAACTGAGCGTTTACTTTCTTAAATTCTGCTAATAGCTATGCTTTGCTGAGAGCTTACTGTGTTTGGGGCCTCTTATATGTATTATTTCACTAATTCCCATTTTATAGAAAACTGGGGCCCAGAAAGGTGAAACAACTTAACAAGCTATTCAGATAATACGTTTTTTCTGTTTTTTGTCTTTGTTTTTGTTTTTTTTGAGACAGGGTCTCGCTCTGTCACCCAGGCTGGAGTGCAGTGGTGTAACCTTGGCTCACTTCAACCTCCATCTCCTGGTTTAAGCGATTCTCCTGCCTCAGCCCCCCAAGTAGCTGGGACTACAGGTGTGCGCAACCATGCCCAGCTAATTTTTTCTTCTTGTTGTTTTTTTGGGGTTTTTTTTTTTTGAGACCGAGTCTCACTCCGTTGCCCAGGCTGGAGTGCAGTGGTGCGATCTCAGCTCATTGCAACCTCCACCTCCCGGGTTCAAGCGATTTTCCTGCCTCAGCCTCCCGAGTAGCTGGGACTACAGGCGCGTGGCACCACGCCCAGCTAATTTTTGTATTTTTAGTAGAGATGGGGTTTCACCGTGTTAGCCAGGATGGTCTTGATTTCTTGACCTCGTGCTCTGCCTGCCTCGGCCTCTCAAAATGCTGGGACTACAGGCGTGAGCCACCGCACCTAGCCTAATTTTTGTATTTTTAATAGAGACAGGGTTTCATGATATTGGCCAGGCTGGTCTCAAACTCCTGACCTTAAGTGATCTGCCGGCCTTGGCCTCCCAGAAGTGCTGGGATTATAGGCATGAGCCACCACGCCCGACTTATATTCAGATAACAAGTTTAAGAGCCAGGATTTAAGTCCATCTTGTGTGACTTCCCAATCCATGTTCTATTTAACTGTATTGCCTAAGTGAACATTTTTGTTACCATAAACTTCCATGTACTATAAACATTATGATGTGGAAATGATCCTTTATTTATTTTATTTATTTTTTTGAGACAGAGTCTTGCTCTGTCACCCAGGCTGGAGTGCAGTGGCTCGATTTCAGCTCACGGCAACCTCCGCCTCCCAGGTTCAAATAATCCTCCTGCCTCAGCCTCCCAAGTAGCTGGGATTACAGGCACGTGCCACCATGTCTGGCTAATTTTTGTATTTTTAGTGGAGCCGGGGTTTCACCATGTTGGCCATGCTGGTCTCGACCTCCTGACCTCAGATCCACCCGCCTCAGCCTCCCAAAGTGCTGGGATTATAGGCATGAACCATGCCCAGCCTGGATCATTTATTATATACTTGTATTTCCAACCATGCCCTCACTTAACTACCAAGTACTGCCAGATAAATATCTTGTTCTTTTTATGTTCAAAGATAATACAGCTGTTTTTATGAACTCTAATTTCTACTTAAGGTATAATGAATTTTCTAGATAAAAATAAGGAACAGGCTGCTCTGCCTACGGAGCAGCCATAGTCCTTGACTTTCTTAATAAACTTGCTTTCGCTTAAAAAAATAATAATAATAAGGAACAGAATTAGCAAAATAGTAACCTGTCAAATTCCTGGAACATTTAAGTACCAAGAATTTCAGCTTTTTATCATGAGAAGGCATTTTTAAGAGTCAGACAATTCATTCAGCTCCCTTGGTATTCTAATTCCAAAAGTACAATATCAACATGCAGTAATAAAAATTCTAATTATAGTTTTTCTTATCTTGCGAGACACAAGAGGTTTTAAAAATCTTCTGAAATCCTCAAGAGTAAATGACGAATCCAGTGGTCTGTCCTTTTATCTAAGAAATTTGAATAAGCAAACTTTGAGATACTCATTATCACAGTCACCTCAGACAAATGTGGCCTTCCCTTGAGGTCACTAGAGTAACATAAAGACCAAGACATCCAAAGGTTACGTTAGATAAGCTTTGCTTGACACTTAGACCCACATGAAAAAGCTGATTATGGCCAGGTCTGGTGGCTCACGCCTGTAATCCCAGCACTTTGGGAGGCCAAGGCAGGTGGATCACCTGAGGTTGGCAGTTCGCCTGGCCAACATGGTGAAACTTCTTCTCTACTAAAAATACAAAATAAAAAAATTAGCTAGGCATGTTGCATGCCTGTAGTCCTAGCTACTTGGGAGGCTGAAGCAGGCGAATAGCTTGAACCTGGGAGGCGGAGGTTATAGTGAGCCAAGATTGTGCTCTCCATGAACTGCACTCCAGCCTGGGTGACAGAGCAAGACTCAGTCTCAAAAAAAAAAAAAAAAAAAAAAAAAACCTGATTATGCTCTAAGACACAGGGTAACTTCTAGGAGGTCATACATGCTGTAGCTGTCTTCCTTACTGATATACACAGCTTTTAAAATGTCTCCATTGTACTTACAGCACCTAGTTCACCCACAATTTATCCCATAACAACAGTTAAATAGTATAGTTATCTTTTTCATGCTGAGTCTCCCATATCATCATTTATGGACTTTTGGGAGAATAGAAGGAAGGAAGAGCGAGCAGATTGCTTGAGAGTGTGGAATTCTGGACATGCTGCTAAGAATCTGAACAGCATTGCCACTGTGCACCTCCTATACAAGCCTTGCAGTTAATTTATGGCCATTTTCTGTTATCTTCTCAGCCCTTCTATGTTTAATTGGAATTCTTCTGTAAGGAATTCTTCTACATTTAATTGTCCCCTTTCTCCCATTTTTTAATCCATTCAGTCATTGATATTAGTGTGGACTTATGGATATTTATTTTTGGGGTTATAACCCAGTTCTATTGCTATTTATTTTGTTGCTCAAATTGTGCCATCTTTCACCATTGGGGGCTCTTTTAAATTGGCTCTTGTGGCCTTTTGACATGTCCTCCCTTTTTTTTAAAGCATCTCCTTACCTTCTGGCAATATAAGTTGCTTCGGACTCATCTTATATTTTTCCTGCTGCAGCCCCAGAATCAGCCATGTTTCTAAGGAGCCCTGGTTGATTTTATCAGAGGATGGTATTTAGAAACCAAGACGTGGACACTAGTTGTGCTTGTTGCTACTGAGTGTCACTGCTTCTATGCACTCTTAACAGAAAGATCTAGGAAATAAATGTATATATACTAACCCATGTGTACACAAATATCTATCTTATTTCGTATCTATCTGTGTATATACATATGTATTAAAATAAGCATGGGGGCCGGGCGTGGTGGCTCATGCCTGTAATGCCAGCACTTTGGGAGGCTCAGGCGGGTGGATCACCTGAGGTCAGGAGTTCAAGACCACCTGACCAACATGGTGAAACCCTGTCTCTACTAAAAATACAAAAAATTAGCCGGGCCTGGTTGTGCGCACCTGTAATCCCAGCTACTAGGGAGGCAGAGGCAGGAGAATCCCTTGAACCTGGAAGGCAGAGGTTGCAGTGAGCTGAGATCATACCACTGCACTCTAGCCTGGATGACAGAGTGAAACTCCATCTCAAAAAAAGATTGATCTCTCTGATATCTCTAATCTAACATCACAGAGTTCATTCTAGCCTTCCTTCCCATCCTTCCTATCCCCAACCCCACTTGCCTTTTTTTTTCTTTTTTCTTTTTTTTTGAGATAGAGTCTCACTCTGTCACTCAGGCTGCAGTGCAATGGCGCGATCTCGGCTCACTGCAACCTCTGCCTCCCAGGTTCAAGCAATTCTTCCGCCTCAGCCTCCCGAGTAGCTGGGATTACAGGCGCCCACCACTGTACCTGGCCAATTTTTTTTGTATTTTTAGTAGAGATGGGGTTTCGCCATGTTGGCCAGGCTGGTTTCAAACTCCTGACCTCAGGTGATCCGACTGTCTTGGCCTCCCAAAGTGCTGGGATTATACCCCCTTGCCTGTTTATAACTACTTTTTCTGACATTGAGAAACTTGGCTCTCCTTATATGTAAATATGTTTCCCTATGAAAGACAGATTTACCCAATAGAGTTCAGTGTTTGTGTACAGCTGTTTCTGTCTCTCGCCTTACAGTATCTAGACAAAGCACTGTTTTCTTAAAGTTACAGGTCAGCACCTTTCTTCCCCACCCCCTTCAGTGAGATTATGTCTTACTCTATAATACAGTTAGATTCATTTGTCCACAGCCTTTATTCCACCCCAACATCCTGGATTTTTTTTTTTTTTTTTTGAGGCAAGGTCTTGCTCTGTCACCCAGGATGGTGTGCAGTGGTGCAATCTCAGCTCAGTGCAACCTCCACCTCCTGGGCTCAAATAATCCTCCCACTTCAGCCTCCCGGGTAGCTGGGACTACAGCCACATGCCACCACACCCGTCTAATTTTTTGTACTTTTTTGAGGAGATAGAGATGGGGTTTCGCCATATTGCCCAGGCTGGTCTTAAACTCCTGAGCTCAAGCAATCCACCCACCTTGGCCTCTCAAAGTGCTGGGATTACAGGCATGAACCACTGCGCCTGGCCTCTCTTCCTGGCTTTTTAAAAGTTTGCATGCAGTAAAACCATTCTTTGTTGTGTGTAGTTCTGTGGGTTTTGACAAATGCATGCACTCATGTATCCACCACCAAAGAACCATACAGAACAATTCTGTCACTCTAGAATTTCCCTTTGCAGTCAGCCCATCCCTTTACCGTAATCCCTAATCTGTTTTTGATGTCACATAAGTGGAATCAAATAATGCACATTCTTTGGGTCCGGCTTCCTTTCCTTAGCAAAATGCATTTAAGATTAATCCATGTTGTTAGATGAATCAACAAGCAGATGTTAAGGAGACTATACATCTGCTTTAATAATGCTGGTATAGGCTGGCTGCAGTGGCTTGGACCTGTAATCTCAGCTACTCCAGAGGCTGAGGTGGGAGGAATGCCTGAGCCCAGGAGTTTGAGGCTGCAGTGAGCTATGGTCATGCCACTGCACTCCAGCCTGGGCAACAGAGGGAGACCTCATCTCTGAAATAATAATAATAATAGTGGTATAGATGGTTCATATTTTAACCACAACAATTATGTCTTTGTCTTTAGGTTTAGATCATATAAATTATAGATTCCAATTATACAAATATGCATAGTTACATACTATGAGGTAATAACCAATACACAATAAATTGGTGATGAAGCAAAACCATCAGTAGTTTACAAATAAAAGAACAGCAGCCTTTGAAAACAATGATCAACACAAGTTACAATGATAATATAGTAATAATTGTCTTCTTGAAAACCACAGGCATTGCAGGTAACTGGTTGAGGCCATGTGAAGTAGGTGTTCTGCCGTGATGCCACGCACTGAGTATAAGCTATCACCTTAGAATGTAGAATTATGAATCCTTAGAAAACTAATCATCCTCACAAATACCTATTTCCAATAATCCTTACTAACTCAAGTAATTTGCCAGTAAGTTGCTCTAAGTCATAGGCAAAAATAAAGTCTACTGCTTGTTGTTTGTTCATCAGAACTAGAGAGGCCGGGCACAGTAGCTCACGCCTATAATCCCGGCACTTTGGGAGGCTGAGGTAGGAGGATCGCTTGAGCCTAGGAATTCGAGACCAGCCTGGGCAATATAGTGAAACCCCAGCTCTATAAAAAATATTTTAAAAGTTAGCCAGGTGTGGTGGCACATACTTGTAGTCCCAGCTACTCAGCATGCTGAGGTGGGAGGATCACTTGAACCCAGGAGGTCAAGGCTGCAGTGAGCTATGATCATGCCACTGCACACCAGCCTGATTGACAGAGCGAGACCCTGTCTCAAAAAGAATAATAACTAAAGAAAGAAACTGCAGTTTTAGTTCAATCTTTCACCTGTCAGAGGACTTCTTGTTTCATTGATGAACTTCAGACACACTTTTAAAAATCACTGAATAGGAGGAGAGATAGTCAGATTGTATTTATTGATTTCAGTGCTAAGTGTAATGAATTGCTTTTTTTATGAAATTATTATTTTTATTAAGAAACCCCTAAGCACCAAGAGCCATAAAAAAAACCCGTATCATTTGCTGTTATAGCCCACAGAGGGAATATGAGTAGATTATATATATATACTCCCTTCCCAAAACAAAGAAAAATTCCAAAAACACATGAATGTGGCTGAGCAGCTGGCTCACACCTGTAATCTTAGCATTTTGGAGGCTGAGGTAGGAGGATCACTTGAATCCAGGAGTTTGAGACCAGCTGGGGAACATGGCAAAACCCCATCTCTACCAAAAAAAAAGCAGGGTATGTTGTCATGCATCTGTTGTCCCAGCTACTTGGGAGGCCGAGGCAGGAAGATGGCTTGAGCCTAGGAGTTCAAGGCTGCAGAGAGCTATGATCACACCACTGTACTCCAGCCTGCATGACAGAGCAAGACCTTCCTGTCTTGATAAATAAATACACACGAATGTGTAGGGAACACTTTTAATTTCTGCATTACAATACTGTGCAAAACAGTAGTGAACCCTCTCAGCCCACAGTGGGCACACAGCTCTTTTTGTTAATAATGTGTATATGACTGCAGTGTACCTCCTGGGAATACAATCTGTGAACCTTAGGGAATTTGTGAAATAACCTTTTCTATTCGGGGCATTGGAAAGGAGAATCAGGGTACTTGCTTTGGCAGCACATATACTAAAAGAGAATCAGGGTGAGATGCCTACCAAACAAGGTGCACACGTAGAAGCATGCATCACAAACAAGAAGTCTTAGAAGCCACCTGTTCGTGTGTGTGTGTGTGTGTGTGTGTGTGTGTGTGTGTGTGTGTGTGTTTGCTTTTGGAGACAGGTCTGTTACCTAGGCCGCAGTGCAGTGGCATGATCATGGCTCCTCACTGCAGTCTCAAACTCCTGGGCTCAAAAGATCCTCCTACTTCAGCCTCCCAAGTAGCTGGGACTACAGGCATGCAACTTCACGACTGGCTTTTTTTTTTTCTGTAGCAATTTGTTTTTTTTGTTTGTTTGTTTTTTGAGATGGAATCTCTCTGCATCACCCAGGTTGGAGTGCAGTGGTGCGATCTCAGCTCACTGGAACCTCTGCCTCCCAGGTTCAAGCGACTCTCCTGCCTCAACCTCCCGAGTAGCTGGGACTACAGGCGTGCACCACCACGTCCAGCTAATTTTTGTAATTTTAGTAGAGACAGGATTTTGCCATGTTGGCCAGGTTGGTCTCGAACTCCTGACCTCAGGTGATCCACCTGCCTCGGCCTCCCAGAGACATAAGCCACCTCACCTGGCCTTTGTAGTAACTTGGATCTCAGTTCTTAGAAGCCCCAACTGATAAAGATCTCAATTAGAATTCTCACTGGACAACTCAGGAGGCTGAGGCAGGAGGATGGCTTGAACCCAGTTGTTCAAGGCTATAGTACACTATAATTGTGCTTTTGCATATCCACTGCACTCCAGCCTGGGTAACACAGCAAGACCCCATCTCTAAAACAAAACAAAACAAAAAACAAAAACAAACAAACAAAAAAAAACAGAATCCTTACTCGGAATGCCAAGGCAACTATACCCATAAATCATCTCTAGAGTCAACAAAACCAGTTCAAGTAAGATCTGAGAAACATGGCATCTTGCCTATCTAAAAGGCATTGCTAATGGGCAGTTTTATATCAGGTTTAGCATTGTCTGTGGCACAAATTTTACAGTCTTATAACTCTGACCAGTAGCTTTAAATTAAAAAAAAAACAACAAAAAAGTCCATTCCAAATACCCTTTGGCTGTGTTCTAGCAGCAATTCCATGGACTGTCGTCTCATCCAGAGGCAGAATATGAATTCAAACAGTGGTATTATAACTGACCTAGGATTAAAACTAGAATTTGAAAAGGCAATCACAATTTTTTTTTTTTTTTTTTTTTTGAGACAGAGTCTCTCTCTGTCACCTAGGCGGGAGTAGAGTGGTGCGATCTCGGCTCACTGCAGCCTCCGCCTCCCAGGTTCAAGTGATTCTCCTGCCTCAGCCTCCCAAGTAGCTAGGATTACAGGAGCATGCCACCACACCTGGCTAATTTTTGTATTTTTAGTAGAGATGGGGTTTCACCATGTTAGCGAGGATGGTCTCGATCTCCTGACCTCGTGATCTGCCTGCCTTGGCCTCCCAAAGTGCTGGGATTACAGGCGTGGCGTGAGCCACGGCCTGGCCAGCAATCACAATTTAAGCTAGGATATCAAGTGGCATGGTGCTCAATGAATACAAATTTTGTTTTACAGATGCTGAAAATTGTGGCAAAAGATATTTTAGAATACACAAGTATAAGTACTAATAAAACAGCTCGAACTTTAATGTCTGCTTTTTAGTGTTTGAGTTTTTTAGTTAAATAAATGAGGTAACTATTTGTTATGATTTTTTTTTTTTGATGGAGTTTCGCTCTTGTTGCCCAGGCTGGAGTGCAATGGCATGATCTTGGCTCACTGCAACCTCCATCTCCCAGGTTCAAGCGATTCTCCGGCCTCAGTCTCCTGGGTAGCTGGGATCACAGGCGTCTGCCACCACTCCTGGCTAATTTTTGTATTTTTAGTAGAGACAGGGTTTCACCATGTTGGCCAGACTGTTCTCGAACTCCTGACTTCCGGTGATCTGCCCGCCTCTGCCTCCCAAAGTGCTGGGATTACAGGCTTGAGCCACCATGCTCGGCCCTGAGTTATAATTTTTTTTCTTAGTTACACATTAACTGAGCCCCATATAGACAAGTTATTTAATAACCTTCCCAGAGACAGTCATGGCTCCTAATCTGAACATATTATCTGCTCTTATGCTTGGTCAGATTGCTCAGCAAAAACAAAGAAATGAACCCATCCATGGCCATCTGATGCAAGGGCCTAGAAATGTCTTAAATGGTACTTTGAAAAGGATAATCATGACATTTAAGAAATTGGTTTTGGTAAGGTTAGGCTAGTAAGCCTGTGAATTTGTTTCATTATTTTATTTCCCCATAGAAATAAGGAATTGGCAGGGTGCAGTGGCTCACGCCTGCAATCCCAGCACTTTGGGAGGCCAAGGTGGGCGGATCACCTGAAGTCAAAAGTTCGAGACCAGCCTGGCCGACATGGTGAAACCCCATCTCTACTAAAAATACAAAAATTAGCCAGGCGTGGTGGTGTGCGCCTGTAATCCCAGCTACTCAGGAGGCTGAGGCAGGAGAATTGCTTGAATCCAGGAGGCAGAGGTGGCAGTGAGCCAAGATCGCGCCACTGCACTCCAGCCTGGGCGACAGAGCAAGACTTCGTCTCAAAAAAAAGAAAGAAATAAGGAGTTAATATTCAAGAGGCTTAGAAAACTAAATAAACCTTCTTTGATTTGGTTGTGTTTTCAGGTTAGTCTAATTAAAAATTTATCCTTGCGTTTCAGGCAATTTCTCGGCATACGCAGGAGCTCCTGGAAATTGAAGAGCCATTATTCAAACGCTCCATCAGCCTTCCCTATAGGGATATTATCGGCTTATATTTAGAGCAAAAAGGTCATACTGGGATAAAATCTGATTCCTTGACTTTATCTGAATTTGTCAAAGCAGCAGGATTACAGGATTATGCTCCAGAAATAACTGCCCCTGAAGAGAATGAGGAATTACCTTGCACTGAACCATAGGGGAAATCCACTTCACAGAGCTTGAAAGATCAAACTAAATTACTTGAGGGAAGAGGTATGGTCTTTTTTGGTTTTCTTTTTCTCCTTTTTTTTTTTTTTATTTTTTTGAGACAGAGTCTTGCTCTGTCGCCCAGGCTGGAGTGCAATGGCACAGTCTCAGCTCACTGCAACCTTGCGATTCTCCTGTCTCAGCCTCCCGAGTAGCTGGGATTACAGGCATCCGCCATCATGCCCAGCTAATTTTTGTATTTTTAGTAGATATGATGTTTCACCATGTTGGCCAGGCTGGTCTGAAACTCCTAACAGTTGATCTGCCCGCCGTGGCGTCCCAAAGTGCTGGGATTACAAGCGTGACCTACCGCACCTGGCCCTTTTTCTCCTTTTCATTAAGGATCAGTTAGAACTGCTGGCTTCATTCCTAGTTGTGTCTCTGACTTATGGTACCCTCCCTTTCTTTTTGCAATTTAACCCCTTGTTAAAACAAAGATAGTCACGCTTATCTTTCTGGGTAATTATAAGAATTCCTGAGCCGGGCAAGGTGGCTCACACCTGTAATCCTAGCTCTTTGGGTGGCTGAGGCGGGCAGATCACCTAAGGTCAGGATTTCAAGACCAGCCTGGCCAACAAGGTGAAGCCCTGTCTCTACTAAAAATACAAAAATTAGCTGGGCATGGTGGCACATGCCTGTAGTCCCAGCTACTCAGGAGGCTGAGGCAGAAGAATCATTTGAACCCAGGAAACAGAGGTTATAGTGAGCTGAGATGGTGCCACTGGACTCCAGCCTGGGTGACAGAGTGAGACTCTGTCTAAAACAAACAAACAAAACAAAGCAAAACAAAATTCCTGAAAAATTCTAGTAATGCACCTTGTAATAGGAACATGTTGGGGAAATATAATTAAAAATAAAATCTCCTGCCAACTCCGGAGAGATAATTCTTTCCACAAATGCAGAAGAGAAACATTTTTATTCTTGAATAAGCATTAAACTGTGATGCACATCACAGGCAAGCTGCTAAAGAGATTGCAAAGACAAATCTCACCCTTGTAGATGGCAGAGCAGATACAATACACGACATACATGTTAATTATCTGTGTCCAAAGGAAAAATAAAACTTCTATCTTGACAACAGACAGAAGTTACTACTTGGAGCCAGGTACCTAAGCTAAACTCCCACAGAGACAGGGAGACAAGGTACCAACCTCCTCAGTGCTCACATTTCAAAGAGATGTCTCCGTGGCCTCCAAAAAAGAGACTGTCCTGAGGTATAAAATGGCTAGAGATATTCAGCTTTTTAAAAGATTTACATACATCTCAAAGACATAGTAAAAGGATTTGCAGTGACAAGTTCTTTAAAGGAAATGGTGGTTTTTTGTTTATTTTTTTGAGATGGAGTCTCACTCTGTTGCCCAGGCTGGAGTGCAATGGTGTGATCTCAGCTCACTGCAACCTCCACCTCCCGGGTTCAAGTGATTCTCCTGCCTCAGCCTCCTGAATAGCTGGGATTACAGGCATAAGCTACCACTCCCAGCTAATTTTTTTTGTATTTTTAGTAGAGACGGGGTTTCACCATGTTGGCCAGGCTGGTCTCAAACTCTTGGCCTCAAGAGATCTGCCTGCCTCGGCCTCCCAAAGTGGGGAGATTACAGGTGTGAGCCACTGCGCCTGGCCTAAAGGAAATGTTTTGCAAAAAAAAAAGTGGGGAAGTTCTCTCTTCCTTTTGGCATCAGGAAAAATTTAAAAGAAAAAAATTTTTTTAGATATGTGTGTATCTAAATATGTAAATATCTAAACATGGCTTACCACTATGAAATAGGTTCTGTGGTTTGCTTACAGGCTTTTTTATGTGGTACTTTCCAGGTCTTTATAATACAAAATTTAGGCTAGAGTCTACCCATGACTGCACTTCTCAAAAGAAATTATAGGCCGGGTGCAGTGGATCATGCCTGTAATCCCAGCACTTTGGGAGGCCGAGGCAGGTGGATCACTTGAGGTCAGGAGTTTGAAACCAGCCTGGCCAATGTGATGAAACTCTGTCTCTACTAAAAATACAAAAATTAGCCAGGTGTGGTGGTGTGCGCCTGTAATCCCAGCTATTCGGAAGGCTGAGGCAGGATAATCACTTGAACCCGGGAGGTGGAGGTTGCAGTGAGCCAAGATTGCGCCATTGCACTCCAGCCTGGGCAACAGAGTGAGACTCCATCTCAAAATAAATAAATAAATAAAAATAAAAAAAGAAATTATAAAATATTTCTCGTTACCTGAATGGCTCCAGTTCCCCTCTAGTTTTACAGATTTAACTGCTCATTCTCTTCCTGGACTCATATTTTAATTCTGAAAACAACCATGGGCTAACACAGTCCTGAAGGACAGTGATGAAGCTCCAGTTCCCTACACCAGAATGAATAGTAAAAGATGTTTTTCTGTTTTTCCACTGAGAAAAGCAAGAGTGCCTCAAATGAATATTCATGCCAAGTGTTAATATTTGATGATGAACCTAATATTTTCCCAAATTGGACTAACAAAATTGTATCAGAAACCATTCTAACACCATACCATTGCATTTGCCTGGCTCACGATTATGTAAAAAAACAAAAGGTAAATGATTAACCTAAGACCATAGTGATTTACATATATAGTGAATGGTTTTGTTCAAAAGCCCTTTAGCATTTAGCAAACAGTAGTTATGTTCTATGACAGAGCATAGTGACATCCCTGTTGTTTTCAACTCTTATAACTGACAAAAAGTATTTGCAAAACATAAAGGAAATCAACAAATTTGCAGTATAGATCTATATTTTGCAAAATTAGTTTTAGCCATTAAATACCAGTTTTTTAAATGGTTTAAATGGGAACAGCTGTAAATAAGATAGTACCAGAACAGTCATATATAGTCAAAATAAGCATGATACAAGCCATAATTCAATTAAGATGGTTTACCATACCTTCACTTCTCTGTCCAAAATTGTGAGAAAATCAAACTGTATCTTTTTCCAGCTACCTACTGCTGGCAAATGGATTGAAACTTGATTTATTGGAAAAGAAGCTGCAGTATGTAATTGTCTAAAACTTATAACATTATAACTTCTTTAATTTTAGAAGAGAAATAATTTGTATTAACAAGACTTTTCTGCGGGAGCAGCTTACTTAAGTTAGGTTGTGTAGTTTCACTAGTTGCTTCTGAGAGCCAGATACATATTGATGGATAGGACCACTTGTTTTATTCTACATTTTAAAGAGTCATCAGTACAGTTTTATAATTCCTGATGTCTATCATGTGGCAAACACAATACAGCCACAAGACTCCCACAGTCAATTGTGATAATCAGGGCACAACTATTATAGGGAAAATCTGTGAGTGGGAAAAAATCCTGATTCCTGAGTTCTCTTATTGGGATGGAAAGCCTGTGGAAATGACTGGCTGTTCTTTGGTTAGGGAGATGCCAAATGAAGCACAGTATAGATGGGTAAGGTGGTCTTGGAGAACAGGACTACTTGAGAGATGCTGGCTAAACGGAGTTTCCTTGAGTTGCACAGCAGTCAGATCAAACCAGGGGAAAGGCCTGAGGTGAAAAAAATATTGTTACTTTTTTATGTCTGTTCAGTATATCTGATTTGGCTGTTAAACACATCTTTTAAAGAAAGTTTTCCTCATTACCTTTTCATAAACTAGAAACATTAATACCTTTTCATAAACTAGAAATTCAGCTAGAACTAGTCAATGTGTAGATTTAAGTGTACTTAATGGTGATTTCTCACACTTATGTACATTTCTCTAAGTGCATTTGGAGAGGAATTCATTGTTAAAGAATTATTATAATATTAACATTGACACCCTTTGCAGAAAATTTTTCTTTTTTTTCTTTCTTTTTTTTTTTTTTGAGATGGAGTCTTGCTCTGTCGCCCAGGCTGGAGTGCAGTGGCGCGATCTCGGCTCACTGCAAGCTCTACCTCCCAGGTTCATGCCATTCTCCTGCCTCAGCCTCCCGAGTAGCTGGGACTACAGGCGCCCGCCACTACGCCCAGCCAATTTTTTTGTATTTTTAGTAGATACGGGGTTTCACCGTGTTAGCCAGGATGGTCTCAATCTCCTGACCTTGTGATCTGCCCGTCTCGGCCTCCCAAAGTGCTGGGATTACAGGCGTGAGCCACTGCGCCCGGCTGCAGAATATTTTTCTCGAATTTAGAAAGAACATATATAAGATCGTGGACATTAAGCAAGGAAGAAGTCTAATTGCTTTTAAGATATCCTCTTTAGCTGTATAGATTAAAAAGTAGGCTGGGCACAGTGACTCATGCCTGTAATCCTAGCACTTTGGGAGGCCAAGGCAGCAGGATCACTTGAAGTCAGGAGTTTGAGACCAGCCTGGACAACATAATGAGACCTCATCTGTACAAATTAAAAAAAAAATTAGCTGGATGTGGAGGGACACACCTGTAGTCCCAGCTACTCAGGAGGCTGAGGTGGGAAATTGCTTGAGCCCAGCAGGTCGAGGCTGCAGTGAGCTATGATCACACCACTGCACTCTAGCCTGGGCTACAGAGTGAGACCCCCATCTCTAAAAAAACAGAGAGGAAAGTTAATATGCAAATGAATACCTAACGGGGCAACATTAAGTATTAGTCTATAGTGTAATTCAAGTTAAAAAGCCTTAAGACATAGGGTTTCAATATTTTTCAAAAGATCAGGAGAGACAGGCATGATGGTGCGCACCTGTAGTCCCAGCTACTCAGGAGGCTGAGAGAAGAGGATTGCTTGAGCCCAGGAGTTCAAGGCCAGCCTGGGCAACATAGTGAGACCCTGTCTGTTAAAAAAAAAATCAAGAGTAAGGCTAAGGCAAAGATACCTGCTCTCACCAGTCTTATACAGAATAGTACTAGAAGTTCTAGGCAATGCAATAAGGCAAGAAAAGGAAATTAGAAGGCATGGACATTGGAAAGGAAGAAATGAAACCGTCTCTATTTATACATGACATTATTATCTATGTAGAAAACTCCAAGGAATCTTTTTTTTTTTTTTTTTTGAAATGGAGTTTCGCTCTTGTTGCCCAGGCTGCAGTGCGATGGTGTGATCTCAGCTCACCACAACCTCCGCCTCCTGGGTTCAAGTGATTCTCCTGCCTCAGCCTCCCAAGTAGCTGGGATTACAGGCATGCACCACCATGCCTGGCTAATTTTGTATTTTTAATAGAGATGGGGTTTCTCCATGTTCATCAGGCTAGTCTGGAACTCCTGACCTCAGGTGATTCACCTGCCTCGGCCTCCCAAAGTGCTGGGATTACAGGCATGAGCCACCGCACCCAGCCCAAGGAATCTATTTTTAAAACCTCCTAGAACTAATGAATTCAGCAAGGTTGCAGGATACAAAATAAACATACAAATATCAATTGTATTTATATACAATAGTGATAAACATGTGGACACCAAAATTGAAAATGTTTTTTCATTTATTGTCACTCCAAAAAATGATATACTTAGATGTAAATCCAATAAAACATGTACAAGACTTGCATAATAAAAACTATAAAATGCTGATGAAAGCAAAGAATATCTAGAGAAACATACTATATTAATGAGTGGGAAAACTCAACAAAATTAAGATGTCAGTTTTCCAAAAATTGATCTATAGATGTAATCACAAAATAAAAATTATTGCCAACACCAGTTGCTGGTGAGGATGCAGAGAAACTGGATTATACATTGCTAGTGATAATATAAACTGGTACTACTGTGAAAAACAATTTGGCAGTGTCTTAAAAAAATAAATATGCAACTACCAAATGACAATAATTACACTCCTGGTCATTCATTCCAGGTAAGTGGACACTTATGTTCACACAAAAGCCTGTACATGAATGTTCATAACACCCTTATTCATAATAGCCAAAAACTGGAATCAACCCAGATGTCCTTCAACAGGTGAATGGTTAAACAAATTGTGATACAGCCATGCCGTGGAATATTATTCAGCAATAAAAGCCAACTATTAATACACATAACAACTTGGATGAATCTCCAGAGACTTGCTGAATGAAAAAAGCCAGTTTCAAAAGGTGGCATACATATGATTCCACTTATATAACATTCTTGAAATGACAAAATTATAGGAATGAAGAACACATTAGAAGTTACCAAGTTTGCAGCTGTGAGGAGGCAACATGAAGAATTCGTTAGTGAAAGAACTGTTCTATATCTTAACTGTATCAATGTCAGTATCCTGGCTGTGATATTGTGCTACAGTTTTGCAATATCTATTTCCATTGATGGAAAATGGGTAAATGGGTACATGAGATTTCACTATTATTTCTTAACAATTTCATGTGACTCCGTATTTATCTCAAAATAAAGAAAAAAATTATCTTGGCTGGGTGCGGTGGCTCACACCTGTAATCCCAGCACTTTGGGAGGCCAAGGCAGGCGGATCATTTGAGGTCAGGAGTTCAAGACCAGGCTGGCCAACATGGTGAAACCCTGTCTCTACTAAAAATACAAAAAAGTCAGCCAGGCTTACTGGCTGTAATCCTAGCTACTCAGGAGGCAGAGGCAGGAGAATTGTTTGAACCTGGGAAGCGGAGGTTGCAGTTAGCCGAGATTGCACCACTCACTCCAGCCTGGGTGACAGAGCTAAAACTCCATCTCAAAAAAAAAAAAAAAAAATACTTGAATTCCAGTTTCTGGTCTGACATGTAAGAAGCTAGAAGTTGCCACTCTATCCTAACAATAATTAAAAAGCTGAACTAAAAAATCAATAACTCTTTTAGATGTGTAAGAGAGGTAGGGTCAAGGGCAAACTACTCTCCCTAAGACTGCAGGGACCAGAACACAAATGCTCAGAAGTAGCTTGCTGGAGGAGAAACCCATGAGCTGAAACCTCTATGGGAACCCAGTGCCAAGATAGGGAACCCGGAACTGTAACTGACAAATTGCTGGAGGTTCAGAGTGGACAAGTCTGAGAATAAAAATGTCAGACTTGGGGGACCCAATCACTGGGGACCCTCACACTTATGATTTTTACCTCTAGGAGCTCAACCAGGTTCTCAGTGATATCTGAGAAAAATCCCCTTGTGCTTCCATCAAAGGGAGAGGAAAATAAACCATTTTGAAATATGGCAGAGCATTCTGTTCTTAGCAAGGTCTGCCCTTGGGAGAAACTATTTAACCAGAGCCAAACCTTCTGGGGTTTTATCTGAGCCTAACTGACCTGGGGGAAGAGAAATAGCCAGTTCCAGTCAGGTCTACCCTTCCACGTGGAAGGAGGAATGGGCTCCTCAACTCCAGCCCACTTTAGCCATCCTGTTCCACTGAAGAAGGAGAAAAATCCTGAGAAACACTTGTGAAGTTCACAGTCCAGAGTACAGGCTCACTCAAAGACTGAGACCTACCCGTAGGACTATAGAACACTTCCCCTCCTCAACTCCTTACTACATTATTAAAGACCTATTTACAGGCCGGGTGCGATGGCTCATGCCTGTAATCCCAGCATTTTGGGAGGCTGAGGCGGGCAGATCATGGTGTCAGGAGTTCGAAACCAGCCTGGCCAACATGGTGAAACCCCATCTCTACTAAAAATACAAAAATTAGCTGGGT
Source organism: Homo sapiens (assembly GCF_000001405.40). Classification (NCBI taxonomy): domain Eukaryota; kingdom Metazoa; phylum Chordata; class Mammalia; order Primates; family Hominidae; genus Homo; species Homo sapiens. The sequence goes on from NC_000014.9 coordinate 77,398,830, forward strand.
GTGGTGGCGGGCACCTGTAATCCCAGCTACTCAGGAGGCTGAGGCAGGAGAATCGTTTGAACTCAGGAGGCGGAGGTTCCAGTGAGCCAAGATCGCGCTATTGCACTCCAGCCTGGGCAACAGGGCAAGACTCCGTCTCAAAAACAAACAAAAAAAAGCCTATTTACAGCAGTTCTTTTTACCTGGTACATCATGTCTGACTATCCAGAAAAAGTTAACAGGCATACTAAAAGCCAAAAAACAAAAAACCACCAAAACCCACAATTTGAAAAGGTAGAACAAGCATCAGAACCACATATGAGAGGAATACTGGAATAATCAGACTGGGAATTTAAAATAACTATGACTGAGGCCAGGTGAGGTGACTCCTGTAATCCCAGCAATCTGGGAGGCCGAGGTGGGAGGATTGTTTGAGCCCAGGAATTCAAGCTTGGGCAACAAAGTGAGACCCCAGTCTCTACAAATAATAAAAAAAACTAGCCAAGCATGGTGGCATGTGCCTGTGGTCCAGCTACTCGGGAGAGGTGGGAGGATCACTTGAGCTCGGGAGATTGTAGCTGCAGTGAGCAGTGATCATGCCACTGCACTCCGGCCTGGGTAACAAAGCAAGACCCTGTCTCAAAAAATAAAATAACTATGACTAATATGCTAAAGGATCTAATGGATAAAGTAGACGGCAGACTACGGAAGCAGAAAGATGGAAGTTCCAGGAACCAAAAATAAATACTACTCATTAAAAACACTGTGACAGATATGAAGAATATCTTTGAGGCCCCTATTAGTAGACTGTTCATGGCCGAGGAAATAATCTCTGAATCTGAGGATATCTCAACAGAAACCTCCAAAACTGAAAAGCAAAGAAAACAAAGACGAAAAATACAGAACAAAATATCCAAGGACTGTGGGACAACTACAAAAGATGTAACATGCGCATAATGAGACTAGAAGGAGGAGAGAAAGGACACAAGAAATATTTGAAACAATAATGACTGAGAATTTCCCCCAAATTAATGTCAGACACCAAACCACAGATCTAGGAAGCTCAAGAAGACACCAAGCAGGATAAATAACAAAAACACACAAGAAACTATACCTAAACATATCATTTTGAGACTACAGAAAAACAAAAAATCTTGAGATAAGCCAGAGGGAAAAAAAACACCATACCCATAGAAAAACAAAGATAAGAAAGCTGATTTTTAGGATCATGCAAGCAAGGAGAGAGTGCAGTGAAATATTTAAAGTGCAGGAAGAAAAAAAATCACTAACCTAGAACTCTGTGCAAAGTTATCCTTCTAAAGTGAAGGAGAAATAAAGACTTTACCAAACAAAAATTGAGGGAATTTGTTGCCAGTAGACCTGTCTTGCAAGAAATGTTCAAAGAAGTTCCTTAGGAGGAAAATGATATAGGTCAGAAACACGGATCTACATAAAGAAAAGAAGAGCACTGAAGAAGGAACAAGTGAAGATAACTTTAGTTTTTCTTACTCCTAACTGATCTAACAGATAACACTGTAAACCAGAAAGTATCTGAGACAAGCATCAGTCAATTTAGAAAGTTTATTTTGCCGAGGTTGTGGCTATGTGCCCGTGACACAGCCTCAGGAGGTTCTGATGACATGTGCCCAAGGTAGTCGGGGCACAGCATGGTTTTATACATTTTAGGAATACAGGAGACATCAATCACTATATGTAAGATGTACATTGGTTTGGTCTGGAAAGGTGGGACAACTTCAAGTGGGGCGGGGGTTTCCAGGTCATAGGTAGATAAGAGACAAACGGTTTTATTCTTCTGAGTTTTTGATGAGCCTTTCACTGAATACACAATTTACAGGAATAGTCTCTTATGACTTAGAATGGCTTAGTGAAGCAATAGGGCAAATGTTTAAATGTATGTTGCAAAGTTGTAGGATACAAGATTAATATGCAAAAGTCAGTGTCTTTTCTATATACCAGCAATGAACAAGTGGAATTTAAAATTAAAAACACATTACCATTTATATTAGAACCCCCAAAATGAAATACTTAGGTATAAATCAAATGAAATATGTGCAAGATCTACATAAGGAAAACTATGAAACTGATGAGAGAAGTCTAAAAACAACAAAATAAATATAGAGATTTCATGTTCATGGAGAAGAAGACTCAATACTATAAAGATGCCAGTTCTTCCCAACTGAACTACACATTCAACGCAATGCCAATCAAAATCCCAGGAAATTATTTTGTGGATATTGAAAAATTGACTCTATAGTTTAAATGGGGCCAGGTGCAGCAGCTCATGCCTGTAATCCCAGCACTTTGGGAGGCCGAGGTGGGTGGATCACGAGGTCAGGAGTTTGAGACCAGCCTGGCCAACATGGTGAAACCCCATCTCTACTAAAATACAAAAATTAGCTGGGCATGGTGGCGGGTGCCTGTAATCCCAGCTACTGGGGAGGCTGAGGCAAGAGAATTGCTTGAACCCAGGAAGCAGAGGTTGCAGTGAGCCAAGATGGCGCCACTGCACTCCAGCATGGGCAACAGAACAAGACTCCACCTCAAAAAAAAAAAGTTTAAATGGAAGAGCAAAAGACTCAGAACAGGCTGGGTGTGACGGCTCATGCCTGTAATTCCAGCACTTTGGGAGGCTGAGGCAGGAGGATCACTTGAGGCCAGGAGCTTGAGACCAGCCTGGGCAACATAGCAAGATCCCATCTCTACAAAAAAATATAAAAAATCAGCTGGGCACAATGGTGTGCACCTGTAGTTCTGTAGTTCTAGCTACTCAGGAAGCTGAAGTGGGAGGATTGCTTGAGCCCAGAAGGTTGAGGATGCAGTGAGCCATGATCGTGCCACTGCACCCCAGCTGGGGCAGCAGAGCAAGACCTTGTCTCAACAACAAACAAGACTCAGAATAGCCAACTCAGTATTGAAATGGAAGAACAAAGTCAGAGGAGTAACACTACCCAACTTCAAGACATCCTTTAAAGCTACAGTAATCATGACAGTGCAGTATTGGTGAAAGACAAATAGAGTGGAATAGAATAGAAAGCCCAGAAATAGACCCGCATAAATATAGTTAACTGCTCTTTGACAAAGGAGCAAAAGCAATATAATGGAGAAAAGACAGTCTCTTCACAAATGGTACTGAAGCACTTGGATATCTACATGCAAAAAAGAAAAAATGAATCTAGACACAAACCTTACACCCTTCACAGAAGTTAAGTCAAAATGTGTCACATGCAGAACTATAAAACTCCTGGAAGATAACATAGGAGAAAATCTAGATGATCTTGGCTTTGGCAGTGACTTTATAGTTGTTAACACCAAAGGCATGATCCATGAAAAAAACAATTGACAAGGTGGACATAATTAAAGAATTTAAATAACTAAAACTAAAAGTCTCTGCTTTGTGAAAGACACTGTCAAGAGAATGAAAACATAAGCCACAGACTAGAGAAAATATTTGCAGAAGACAGATAAAGGACTGTTTTCCAAAACATACAAAGAACTCTTAAAATTCAACAATAGGAGCCGGGCGCCATGGCTCACGCCTGTAATCCCAGCACTTTGGGAGGCCAAGGTGAGCGGATCACCTGAGGTCGGGAGTTCAAGACCAGCCTGACTAACATGGAGAAACCTCATCTCTATTAAAAATATATAAATACAAAAATTAGCCAGGCATGGTGGTGCATGCCTGTAATCCCAGCTACTCGGGGGGCTGAGGCAGGAGAATCACTTGAACCCGGGAGGCAGAGGTTGCGGTGAGCCGAGATCGTGCCATTGCACTCTAGCCTGGGCAACAAGAGCAAACCTCCGTCTCAAAAAAATTCAACAATAGGAACACAAACCAATTTAAAAATGGGCCAGAGACCTTAACAGACACTTCACCAAAGACAATATACAAATGGTCAATAAGCATATGAAAAGATGCTACACATCAGGCCAGGCATGGTGGTTCATGCCTGTAATCCCAGTATTTTGGGAGGCCAAGGTGGGCATCACCTGAGGTCAGGAGTTTGAGACCAGCCTGCTAACATGGTGAAACCCCATTTCTACTAAAAACACAAAAAATTAGCCGGGTGTGGTGGTGCATGCCTGTAATCCCAGCTACTTGGGAGGCTGAGGCAGGAGAATCGCTTGAACCCAGGAGGCAGAGATCGCAGTGAGCCGAGATCACACCATTGCACTCCAGCTTGGGCAACAGAAGTGAAACTCCGTCTCAGAAAAAAAAAAGAATACAAGGAAAATTTGACAGGAAAACTATATAGTTTACAACATTAATTAAATATTACAATCTTAAAGGAGAGGAGAAACAAAAATCTCATTAAATGCTTAAAAGGGAAACTGATAAAATTTGAAATAGATTTTCTTAAAACTTGAGAAGAATAAAATTGGGATGAGTAAATTAGGGTTGACAAACTACTAGAAGGAAACCTTTTGTTTTTATTATGGAAATTTTAAAACAAAATAGAATGAAACATAGAATAGTATTAAGTAAAAAAGAATATAACAAAAAATAGTATAACGAAACTCCATATGCCTATCACTCAGATTTAACAATTATCAATTTATAGCTAATCTTTTCTCATACAAAACCCCACCCCTACTCCTTTACCCCCATCTATTGGATTATTTTGAAGGCAATCCCAGACACTATATTGCTTGATAGACTTATCACTAAAAATACAAAAATTAGCCAGGCGTGGTGGTGTGTGCCTGTAGTCCCAGCTACTCGGGAGGCTGAGGTGGGAAGATCACGTGAGCCCAGGAGGTGGAGGTTGCAGTGAGCCAACATTACACACCACTGCATTCCAGCCTGGGCAGCAGAGTAAGACCCTCTATCAAAAAAATAAAAATAAAAACAAAAAAGTTAATGGAAATAACAGGCCCACCAAGTGCTCAACATTTAATTAAAATAGACCTACATCATGGCACATCATAAAATTTCAAGATACTGAGGTCAAAAGATCTCATAAGCTTCCAGAAAGGAAAGAAACAGGTTTCAGACAAAGGATTAAGAATTAGAATGGCACTGTAACTCTCAGTAGCAACTCTAGAAGCTGAAAGACAATGAAGCAATGCCTCAAAATTCTCCCATCCAAGTACTAACCAGGCCCGACCCTGCTTAGCTTCTGAGATCAGATGATATCAGGCACGTTCAGGGTGGTATGGCTGTAGATGCAATCCCTCAAAATTTTAAGGGAAAATTATTTCCAACCTGCAATTCTATACCTGGCTATGTTCTCAATAAAATAGAACGCTAGAATAAAAACATCTCAAAGAGTCTCTGAAAATTATTTCAATGCACCCTTTCTCAGGAAGGTACTACAGGACATGTTCCCCCCAAATTAAGAAGTAATTCATGAGAGAGAAACAAGAGATGTTTCCATGACAGGAAACAAGAGATCCAATACAACAGAAAAGTGAGGGGAATCCCTGGGATAATGAAGAAGAAAAATCTCCAAACCAAACGTGAATCACAGGCATAGAGAATAAACTGTCCATTGATGATTGATTGGAATACGAAAGATGAGGAAGAAGAATCTAGGATTACATCTAGGGTTCTGACTTGAACAACTTGGTGAAGCAGCATATAATTAGGTAAGAAACATCAGAAGAGCAGGTTTAAGAGCAGGTATGTTTTTGGACATGGTGAGTTTGAGTGGAGATGGTGAATACACAGTTACCTAGGCACAGCATTGACATTTAGGCTAGAGATACAGAGTTATATGCTGTCAGTGAAAAGATGGGAACCTAAGTCCCCAAAGTGGAAAAGATCACCGGGAACAAAGTATAGAATGAAAAGAAGTATAGCATGAAAAGAAAAGGGCCTAGGATAGAGCCCTGAAAACACCCAGATTTAAGGGTGAGGCAGAGGAGAAGCTAGCCAAGGAGGGGCCGGGGAGTCAGGAAGAAAATGAGGAGAACGGGAGGGATCATGACAGCCTAGAGAAGAGACTGCTTCAAGAAGGATGGCATGTTCAATAATTAAGGAAGAAAAAGAGTTTAAAGCATCCAGTGGATCTAGTGACATGGAAGTCACTAGTAATAAGAGCAATAATCTTTGCATATTAGATTATCAAAGATCAAAAATATTTATTTGATAGTTATCAGATATTAAAGAAGTGGCACCCTCATATGCTGTTGGTAGAAATGTAAACAAGTACCACATTTTTTATAAGCAATTTGGGAACACCTATCAAATATAAAATATGCATAAACTTTGACCCAGAGCTTCTTTCACATATGCCACCGAAATACTGGTACAAGTGCACAAAGTACAAGAATGTTCAAAGCAGGCCAGGCGCACTGGCTCACACCTGTAATCCCAGCACTTTGGTAGGCCAAGGCGGGCGGATCACTTGAGGTCAAGAGTTGGAGACCAGCCTGGCCAACATGGCGAAACCCTGTATCTACTAAAAATACAAAAATTAGCCAGGCATGGTGGCACATGCCTGTAATCCCAGCTACTCGGGAGGCTGAGGCACTTGAATCACTTAAAGCCGGGAGGCAGAGGTTGCAGTGAGCCGAGATCGTGCCACTGCACTCCAGCCTGGGTGACAGAGCAAGACTGTCTCACAAAATAAAATAAAATAAAATAAAGAATGTCAAAGCAGCCCGTAATGCAAAATTGGGGATGAGAGGAGGAACTACATCTCTATCAAGTGGAAAAGGAGTGAATAAATTTAATGGAATAAATGTGTCCGGTGGACACCTAGGTAGCTGCTCATAAATGAAGTAGCTATGATTGTACTAACATAGAATGGTAGCTGTGATACAGTAAGTAAAAAAGCAGAATATATAGTTCCCATGTGTCTAACACTGTATATATAGGAATAGATATGCATATACATTATAACAATATAAATGTTTGTAAATGCATAGATAAAAATATAAAAACTGTTAGAGGTGAAATCTATGAAATGGGATTTGGAAGGCAAAGGATGGCATTTACTTTTCCACTAGTTGAAATTCTTTACAAAAAGGTATAATTTTTATCAATGTTTAAAGAGAACATGAAAGGATAAAAGAAAAAAAGCATTAACTAAGAGAAGAGTCTGGGAGAAATGAGAATGGCCAGCTGTCCAATGCCCTTACCTTTCCTGAGACAAATTCTTGCCATAGGCTTTGCTGACAAAATCTGTTAATTGCAACTTTGGGCAAGATGCTGTGTCTTTCCCACAGTCTTCAAAGTGCACGGAGAGAAAGAGTTCACTCAGAAGCTGCAGCACTTGGGAGTGGGCCATGTTTCTTGCTGTGCATATGTTTAGGGCCGCATAGAACACTCCCTCCAACCACTTGATATTGAGGATTATTCCCCCTACACATCAATGAGAAGGTAAATACCAGTTAGCACCACCAAAAATGAGTTGCAGAAAACCTAGAATAAACCCCTGACAGTGAATAGCCGCCTTTTTTCCAAGACAGATTGGTAATATGAACCACAAGATAAGCAAACATTCCTTCCTGAGCCACAAGTGCTACTTGTGCCCTTTATAACACATCATGTGTTGACCATCCCAAAAGTGGACAGATACAACTAATGTAGACATTGCTAATGGCAAAAAGTGTCTCTGGAATAGTCGTTGCTAATATGGAGAAGGAACTGGGGAAAACTACAAGATTAGAACAGGGAAAAGCCATTTTAGTCCAACATTACATCCTCCTATTGAAATAAGCTATCTCCTCTTTTGGTTTTAATTTGTCCTTAAGAAGTCCAAATGATCAAGCTTCTCAGCTCTTCCTAAGTAGCTCTCCTGCAGTACCTTGTGCCTTACACACACACACACACACACACACACACACACACACACACACACAGAGAGAGAGAGATTGATTTAATAAGATAGCAATGGGCCAACAGGAAAGTAATTTTCAAAAGAATGCCAGAAATATGTTGAGCCGTGACCAGCAGGACTGTAGGGACAGGTAGCTTGAAGAATCGTAGGATCTTGGAGAGCAGCTATGACTCCCTTATTGGCCCCCCAGACGCTGACAGAATCTTCATCATACTGATACTGAGGCCGCAAGATATTGGTGTGGTTCAACAGTAGTTTCAGCCTGGAAGTAAAGCCAAGACAGGGAGTGCAATGCCAGGACTGGAATAAATGACGACATAACCCACTGTGTTTACATCCAACCCCATCAACAGACTCCCCCACACAGCTCAGAGATAAATGCGGGTCTGGGTCTGTGCTGAGAGCACTAATTAACTGGACTGTTCATCCACCTAACAAATCCTTACTTATTGAATGTTATGTGCTAGGCACTGGGCTAGAAACTAAGTGTGCAGAAATAATATTTGACACATACTTTCAGTAACTTTTCATGTTATTGACCGATGGTTTCTCTTCTCATTGATGCACAAGGAGAATACTTCAGTGTTCAAGTAATGGGAATAAATGTTCTATTGCAATTTTAAACCTTTGTACAGCAACAAAAATGGTTTGTGGTTACTATTTGTGGGTAAGTAGGGAAGTTACGAGAAAGATTGGCTAACTATGTTCTTCTACAGATAAAGCTGCTTCCTCCTTATTACTGGAAACAACCAACTCTAAGAGATAGGGGCTACAGTGGAGGTGGGAGGCAGAAGTCAGAGATAAGGAGACAGAGCAGTTGTGCCAGTTCCATTCTCACCCTAACAAGATACCTGGGTAGTGGGATGGCAGCTACAAAGCTGTACACAATGCTGGCCTTCTCAAGGCTGGTGTAAATTTCTACGCAGATATTAGGCAGCTGAGACGGCAAGCAGCAGAGGAATATCACATCGGCCCAACTCACCAGATCAGCGTTATGGTAAAAGCATTTGATTCCCAGCTTCTGGAGCTCACCTGGGAGGGATAAAGGAAGACAGGAAGAGCACAGTACTAAAGAGTTTGACCTGAACATCAACTATGGGGAGAGGGTGATCATTATTTTAGCTCAGTAAATCAACCCATCTTATTGCTCCATAAATCAGAAGATATTCCTTCCTACAGACCTTCTAAAAGCCACGCAGCAATGCCCTAACTCTATTACTAAAGCAGCAGTAGTACTTGAAATTATAATTCATCTTTTTTTTTTTTTTTTTTGAGACGGAGTCTCACTCTGACGCCCAGGCTGCAGTACACTAGCGTAATCTCGGCTCACTGCAACCTCCGCCTCCCGGGTTCAAGCGATTCTCCTGCCTCAGCTGCTCAAGTAGCTGAGATTACAGGCATGCGCCACCATGCCCAGTTAGTCTTTGTATTTTTAGTAGAGACGGGGTTTCACTATGTTGGCCAGGCTGGTCTCAAATTCCCAACCTCAGATGATCCGCCCATCTCGTCCGCCCAAAGTGCAGGGATTACAGGCGTGAGCCACCACGCCTGGCCTATAATTCACCTTTATCTTACTTTTAGATCAAGTGCTGGAATTTTTCCAATTTTTTTTTAAGACAGGGTCTTGCTTTGTCACCTGTGGTGTGATCATGGCTTACTATAGCCTCAACTTCCTGAGCTCAAGGGATCCTCCCGCCTCAGCCTCCCAAGTAGCTGGGACCACTGGTGAGTGTGACCATGCCCAGCTAATTTTTTTATTTTGTGTAGAGACAAGGTCTCACTATGTTGCCTAGGTTGGCCTCAAACCCCAGGACTCAAGTGATCCTCCCACCTCCGCCTCCCAAAGTCCTGGGATTACAGGCATGAGCCCTATGTGCTGCCCAGACTTTTTTTTTAGGAAGAAAAAAAATCTCAGAGAAGTCTTTTACTCCAATGTACTGCAGGATAACCATGTGTCAGATAATGTACAAAGGACTTTACAGTTTCTAAGGTGTAACCCCCACAAGGACCTTATGAAGCAGAAACGAGTAGCAGTCCCATTTTACAGATGAGACTGAGGATTCAAGAAGTTATATGACTTGTCCAAAGTTACAGAGCTGCTGGCTTGAGGTGGTGGAAAAGACTAGGAGAGTGGAAGGTATAAATCAGAGGCTGAGAAGGGTTTGCAAAGATTTAACAGTTTCTGTAAAGTATATACAAATTAATTTTATTAGGATATCTATAAATGAAGAAAGACTGATAACTCATGTAGTTGCATAAAAACACTCACTGGTAGTTAATTTTTTTTTTTTTTTTTTTTGGCTAGCGATGGGATCTCACTGTTATCCAGGCTGGTTTCCAACTCCTGGCTTCAAGTGATCCCCCTGCCATAGCCTCCCAAATGTGCTGGGATTATGGGCATGAGGCAATATGGATTTTCAAAAGTATAAACCTAAAGTGTTCACTCACATCTGGTGGTATGTCATAAATGTCATTGGAAAACAGAATATAACAGACATTGGAGAGTGACTTCTTATGTTAACCACTGAGAGTACATGGCAAATGTAATGCTAAGGTTATCTAGATACTGATAAACCTGGAAGAAAGACAGATGATTTGGTTTGGCTCTGTGCCCCCACCCAAATATCATCTCGAATTGTACTCCCCACGTGTTGAGGGAGGGACCTGGTGTGAGGTGATTGGATCATGGGGGCAGTTTCCCCCATGCTGTTCTCATGATAGCGAGGGAGTTCTCATGAGAGCTGATGGTTTAAACATGGCACTTTCCCCTGTGTGCTCTCTCCTGCCACCTTGTGAAGAAGGTGCCTGCTTCTGCTTCACCTTCCACCATGACTGTAAGTTTCCTGAGGCCTTCACAGCCATGCAGAACTGTGAGTCAATTAAACCTCTTTTGTTTATAAATTACCCAGTCTCAGACAGTATCTTTATAGCAGTGTGAAAACAGACTAATACAACAGGACAAAGTTTAGAAAACAGGCCTATCTATCATTCTCTCCTGTGTTGTTCTCATTCTTTTCATGTGCATAGAAGCTGATGTTGAGCATTTTGAATTATTGTTTCCTTACACAACACATAGTGATATTTTACAACTATAATTTTATTCTAATAAATATATTGCTTTGCAAAGAATATATATACTTTGTTGAAATATCACATATATTAGTCCTATTGATGGGATAAAGATATATACCTTGAGATTTTTTTTTTTTTTTTGAGACAGAGTCTTGCTCTGTCATCCAGGCTGGAGTGCGTGGTACAATTTTGGCTCACTGCAACTTCTGCCTCCTGGGTTCGAGCAATTCTCATTCCTCCCCTGTAGCTGGGATTCGAAGGTATGTGCCATCATGCCTGGCTAAGTTTTGTATTTTTAGCAGAGATGGGGTTTCATCATGTTGGCCAGGCTGGTCTCAAACTCCTGGCCTCAAGTGATGCAGCTGACTCAGTCTCTCAGAGTGCTGGGATTACCGGCATGAGCCACCATGCCCAGTTGGTAAGATTTTTTTTTTAGTTTCCTTAGGAATATAGGAAAAAAAAAATGGCCAGGTGTGGTGACTTACTCCTGCAATACCTGCACTTTCAGAGGGTGAAGTGGGAGGACTGGTTGAGCCTAGCAGTTTAAGACTAGCCTCGGCATTAGAGTGACACCCTGTCTCTATTTATAAACCAAAAGAAAAAAAGAAAAAAACATTACAAATCAATAAGAAAAATAAACCTGGGCACTGTGGCTCACACCTATATCCCAGCACTTTGGGAGGCTAAGGCAAATGGATCACTTGAGGCCAGGAGTTCGAGACCAGCCTGGCCAACATGGCAAAACCCTGTCTCTACTAAAATATTATACAAAAATTAGCTGGGCATGGTGGTGTGTGCCTGTAATCCCAGGTATGTGAGGGGCTGAGGCATGAGAATCACTTGAGCTTGGGAGGCAGGGAGGTTGTAGTGAGCCGAGATCATGCCACTACACTCCAGCCTGGGTGACAAAGTGAGACTCCATCTCAAAATAAATAAATACATATATACATAAATAAATACATAAATAAAGTAAGTAAGAAAAATACAGGCACACCAACAGAAAAAATGGTCAGAAGCACCTCAGAAAAAATGACATAGTAATAAACCTAAGAAAATAAAACTCTTCTATTGATTAATGAAAGACATATTAAAACAAGAAAATAATTTAAAGTATATTAAAATGGTGATGTTAAAAATGATCCCAGCACTGACCTGTGTGTAGTGAAATGGGTGTTCTTATGCAATGTTGGTAAAAAAGTATACCTGAAAACCTTTTGGGAGGTCAATTTGAAAAAATACATTAGAAGTTTCTTTAAATTTTAAAGATATACCTACCACATGACCCAGCCATTTCACTGCCACATATTTACCCAAGAAAAATGAAAGTAGTTGCCTACATGAACACTTATATACATGTATTCATGGCAGCTTTATTTGTAATAGCCAGAAACTGCAAACAGCCTAAGTCAACCAAATAAATAAACTGTGGAATAATCATGCAGGGAAATACTACTCAGAAATAAAAAAGGATATTGATACATTAAAAACGTGGATATATTTCAGCTGGGCATGGTGGCTCACGCTTGTAATCCCAGCACTTTGGGAGGCTGAGGTGGGAGGATCACTTGAGGTCAGGAGTTGGAGACCAGCCTGGCCAACATGATGAAACACCATCTCTATTAAAAATACAAAAAATTAGCTGGGCATGGTGGTGAGCGCATGTAATCCCAACTACTTGGGAGGCTGGGGCAGGAGAATCGCTTGAACCCGGGAGGCTGAGGTTGCCGTGAGCCGAGATCACACCACTGTACTCCAGCCTGGGTGACAGAGTGAGACTCTGTCTCAAAAAAAAAAAAAAAAAAAAAACTTGGATATATTTCAAACAAATTATGCAGTGTGAAAGAAGTTAGACTAAAAAAACACTACAAACTGTATGATTCCATTTAGATAAAATTCTAGAAAATGCACACTAATCTATGGTGACAGAAATCAGATTGTTGGTTTCATGGGTGGAGAGCTTCAGGGAAGTGGACAGAAAGGGATTACCAAAGACAAGTGGCAACTTTTGGGGGTGATGGGATACGTTCATTACCTTGTGATGGTTTCACAGTTGTATACGTGTCAAAACATCAAATTGTACTCTTTTAACTGTGTGCCATTTATTGTATAGAAATAATATTTTAGGGGCAGGTGCAGTGGCTCACGCCTGTAATCCCGGCACTTTGGGAGGCCGAGGCAGGCAGATCACCTGAGGTCAGGAGTACAAGACCAGCCTGGCTAACATGGTGAAACCCCGTCTCTACTAAAAATGCAAAAAAATTTAGCTGGGTGTGGTGGCGTATGCCTGTAATTCCAGCTACTCAGGAGGCTGAGGCGGGAGAATCGCTTGAACCCGGGAGGCAGAGGTTGCAGTGAGCCGAGATCGTGCTCTCCACGATCTGCACTCCAGCCTAGGTGACAGAGCAAGACTCAGTCTAAAAAAAAAAAAAAAAAAAAAAAAAATTTAATAAAGCTGTACCAATTCTTTGGCCTAATAACTTTATTTGGAAAATTATGTACAAGGAAGTTCAACTAAATAAGGCATAGTTACATAAATTATGGTACATCCATACTTTGGGATATTATACAACCTTAAAATCTATTTTTTTACATTAATCTCTTACTAATATAATTAAAATTTTAAATCCTGAGATGAAAACAGAGAAAGGAAGAATAGTGTAGGGTGTCTAGTGGTCTTAGCCACTGCTGGGCACAACTACATAGTCTGTGCATCCAAACACCAGGTACAGCAAGCACACCCTGCTAGGGAGATGCAAGAGACTGTGCTCAAAGCCTGCTGGGGTAACCTTCTACTGTGGGAAAGTGGAGGGGCTTAACATCATTATTTCTTATTGATTGATTAATTGAGACAGAGTCTTACTCCGTTGCTGAGGCTGGAGTGCAATGATGTGATCTCACCTCACTGCAAGCTCCGCCTCCTGGGTTCAAGTGATTTGCCTGCCTCAGCCGCCTGAGTAGCTGGGACTACAGGAACCCACCACTACACCTGGCTAATTTTTGTATTTTTAGTAGAGACTGGGTTTCACCATGTTGGCCAGGCTGGTCTCAAACTCCTGACCTCAGGTGATCTGCCCACCTCGGCCTCCCAAAGTACTGGGATTACAGGTGTGGGCAAATCATTATTTCAAAAAATGTTAAACGATACGAGAATATGCTCATGATACATTATGTAAAAAAAAACAGAATACAAACAACTGTATACAGTGTCGATTACTGATATAATTAGAGAAAAAAAAAACACGGGAAGGAAATAACCCGAGTAGATTATAGGTAGTTGTATCCTTCCTTGTAGACAAATTTTCTACAATATGCATATTATTTTACATTTTTTATTATTGAAGTATAATTTACATATAATGCAAAACACAGATATGAAGTGTACAGTTTGATCAGTTTTGACAAAAGCATACACCCATTTAACCCATACCTCTCTCTCAAGATATAAAACATTTTCATCTCCCCAGAAAAAGTTGCTTTGGGACTTTCTCAGTCTATCTCCCCAGAAGAAATCATTGTTCTGATTTCTATCACCATAAATGGAATCATTACAAAACTTTTTTTTTTTTTTTTTTGAGACGGAGTCTTACTCTATCTCCAGGCTGGAGTGCAGTGGTGTGATCTCAGCTCACTGCAACCTCTGCCTCCTGGGTTCAAGCAATTCTCCTGCGTCAGCCTCCTGAGTAGCTGGGACTACAGGCACGCACCATCATGCCCAGCTAATTTTTGTATTTTTAATAGAGACAGGGTTTCACTATGTTGGCCAGGATGGTCTCAATCTCTTGACCTCGTCATCTGCCCGCCTTGGCCTCCCAAAGTGCTGTGATTACAGGCGTGAGCCACCGCGCCCGACCACAAAACATTTTTTTAAAGTCAGTAAATGTCATTTTTAAAAATATAAGGCCAACTGCAAATGCCTGGAACTGTTTAACACCCAACCAGACCCTAACTGATTCAGTTAGAAGATCTGAACTCTGTATGGAAAGCTTCCCTGTATCAAAGATCTGGAAAGATACTTCACCACCAAGGGCACAGGGAGGAGACATGGATATAAAACACATACATGGAGAAAAAAAGTCGCTTTAAAGAACAGGAGAAAAGGCCATGCTTCTAACCTTTCTTAGGGCTAGCAAGCTGAGAACTCCACACGCTGTATGCAAGGATTCCTCTTTGGAGGACCCTTTCAAAATGGCTTTGTTGACACCTACACAGCACAACCAAGCCCCCTTTCTACCACACACTGCTCCTCACCCAGAGTCTCTGGCCTCCGAGTGGAGATCCGCAGGCTTTCAGCAGGGATGGGGCCAAGCTGCAGCAGTGTGCCAGCCAGCTGCTTCCCAAGGTGGCCACCTCCAATGATGCCCACCTTAAACTCTTCAGGAGTGGCTGAATTAAGGGAGCCAATTGAGAGATGTCTGGAACTTTGATTCTTATTTAATGATGCTCTGGAGAATGAACACACAGACACGTACATAAATACATGCACACACTAGTTTTTCTTTTTTTTTTTTTTTTTTGAGACAGAGTCTTGCTTTGTCGCCCAGGTTAGAGTGCAATGGGGTGATCTTGACTCACCGCAAGCTCCGCCTCCCAGGTTCACGCCATTCTCCTGCCTGTCTCCCGAGTAGCTGGGACTACAGGTGCCTGCCACCACTCCCGGCTAATTTTTTGTATTTTTAGTAGAAACAGGGTTTCACTGTATTAGCCAGGATGGTCTCCATCTCCTGACCTCGTGATCCACCCGTGTTGGCCTCCCAAAGTGCTGGGATTACAGGCGAGAGCCACCGCACCCGGCCTAGTTCTTCTTAACTGTCATTCTCTGACATTTTCTGCTTTGTCATTTAAGGTGCTTGGTGGCACCTTAAGTACTTCGGAGATAAGACATTTCAACTGTGTGTCATTTATCCAGCCTCACTAGGGAATGAAATGTTCCTCCTGAGTTAATTTTCCAGAAACAAAAGTATAACCCTTTTCAAGGGACCAAAATTTAAAATGTTTTAAATGAACATACTTTGTTACATGTATTATGCTTGCCTGGTTAAACAGTCTGAATATTTAATCATTTCACTGGCTCAGGACACCACTGTGAACAGCCACTATTATACAGCATACTGTAATGTCTATAACACATTGTGGGCCAGTCCCCTCATGTTTTGTTTGTTTCTGTGCAGACAGCTTTCAATTTTTTTTTTTATTGTGGTTAAAAAACACATGCTGGGTACGGTGGCTCACATCTATAATCCCAGCACTTTGAGAGGCCAAGGCAGGCAGATCACTTGAGCTCAGGAGTTTGAGACCAGCCTGGGCAACATGTAAGACCTCGTCTCTACAAAAAATACAAGAATTAGCCAGGTATGGTGGTGCACACCTGTAGTCCCAGCTACCCAGGAGGCTGAGGTGGGAGGATTGCTTGAGCCCAGGAGTTTGAGGCTGCAGTGAGCTGTGCTCGTGCCACTGTACTCCAGCCTGAGTG
The DNA here is from genome assembly GCF_000001405.40 of Homo sapiens. Lineage (NCBI taxonomy): Eukaryota > Metazoa > Chordata > Mammalia > Primates > Hominidae > Homo > Homo sapiens. The sequence goes on from NC_000014.9 coordinate 77,415,156, forward strand.
ACAGAGCAAGACCCTGTCTCAGGAAAACACACACACACACACACACACACACACACACACACACCATGAACTTCACCATCATAACCATTTTTAAAGTGCACAGTACAGTTGTGTTAATTATATGCACATTGTGGCTAGGCATGGTAGCTGATGCCTGTAATCCCAGCACTTTGGGAGGCCAAGGCGTGTGGATCACTTGAGGTCAAAAGTTTAAGACCAGCCTGGCCAACATGGTGAAACCCCATCTCTATTAAAAATATAAAAATTAGCCCAGCATGATGGTGTAAACCTGTAGTCTCTGCTACTCAGAAGGCTGAGGCAGGAGAATCTCTTGAACCCGGGAGGTGGAGGTTGCAGTGAGCCAAGATCCACTACTGCACTCCAGCCTGGGCAATAGAGCAAGACTTGATCTCAAAAAAAGAAAATACATATAGATAGATAGATAGATAGATAGATAGATAGATAGATAGATAGATAGACAGACAGACAGACATATAGATATAGTTGTGCAACAGCTCTTTAGAACCTTTCCATCTTGCAAAACTGGAACTCTATATGCTTTTTTTTTTTTTTCGAGACAGTCTCCCTCCATTGCCTGAGCTGGAGTGCTGCGGCACAATCTCAGCTCACTGCAACCTCCACCTCTCACATTCAAGCAATTCTCTGCCTCAGCCTACTGACTAGCTGGGATTACAGGCGCGTGTCACCACACCCCACGCCCAGCTAATTTTTGTATTTTTAGTAGAGATGAGGTTCTCCATGTTGGCCAGGCTGGTCTCGAACTCCCCACTTCAAGTGATCCGCCCACCTCCGCCTCCCAAAGTGCTGGGATTATAGGCATGAGCCACCACACCCGACCTGAAACTCTATACAATTTTTCTCTCTCCCCAGCCCCTGGAAACTACCATTCTACTTTCTGTTCCACTACTTTAGATACCTCATATAAGTAGAATTATGCAGTATTGTCTTTTTGTACATGGCTAATTTCACTTAGCATAATGTCCTCAAGCTTCATCCATATCAATTTTTGGATTTTTTTTCTATCTTCATGAAAAATGTCATTGGGATTTTGATAAGGATTGCAGTGCATCTGTAGACAGCAATCTACAGGGTCATAGGACAATAGCGTGGGAAGGTCAGCAGATAAACAAGTGAACAAAGGTCTCTGGTTTTCCTAGGCAGAGGACCTTGCGGCCTTCCACAGTGTTTGTGTCCCTGGGTACTTGAGATTAGGGAGTGGTGATGACTCTTAAGGAGCATGCTGCCTTCAAGCATCTGTTTAACAAAGCACATCTTGCACCGCCCTTAATCCATTCAACCCTGAGTGGATACAGCACATGTTTCAGAGAGCACAGGGTTGGGGGTAAGGTCACCGATCAACAGGATCCCAAGGCAGAAGAATTTTTCTTAGTACAGAACAAAATGAAAAGTCTCCCATGTCTACCTCTTTCTACACAGACACGGCAACCATCCGATTTCTCAATCTTTTCCCCACCCTTCCCCCCTTTCTATTCCACAAAACCGCCATTGTCATCATGGCCCGTTCTCAATGAGCTGTTGGGTACACCTCCCAGACGGGGTGGTGGCTGGGCAGAGGGGCTCCTCACTTCCCAGTAGGGGCGGCCGGGCAGAGGCGCCCCTCACCTCCCGGACAGGGCGGCTGGCCGGGCGGGGGGCTGACCCCCCCACCTCCCTCCCGGACGGGGCGGCTGGCCGGGCAGAGGGGCTCCTCACCTCCCAGTAGGGGCGGCCCTTTCTTATTTTTAACGTAGGCATTTACCCCTATAAAGTTTGCTCATAGTACTGCTTTTGTTGCAACCCATAAGTTTTGGTATGTTGTTTTCATTTTCACTTAAGATATTTTCAAATTTTCCTTGTGATTTCCTGTTTGATTCATTGGTTGTTCAAGAGTTGTGTTGACTTCCACATATTTGTGAACTTTCTAGTTTTTCTTCTGCTATTTCTAGTATCATTCTATTATGGTCAAAAAAAAAAAAAAAAGACGGTTGGTATGATTTGAATCTTCTTAAATTTGTTAGGACTTATTTTGTGACCTAACGTGATCTATCCTGGAAAATGTTCCATGTGCACTTGAAAAGAACGTGTATTCTGCTGCTGAGTGGAGTGTTATGTACTTGTCCATTAGGTTCTAATTGGTGTGTCATGTTGTTCAAGTCTTCTGTTTCCTTACTAACCTTTTGTCTGGTTGTTCTATCCATTATTGAAAGTTGGGTATTAAAATCTCCTACTATAATTGTATACCTTCAGTTATGTCAATATTTGCCTCATATATGTGGATGTTCTGATGTTAAGTACATATATAATTGTTGTGTCTTCCTGGTGAATTGGTCTTTTTATCATCATGTCATTCTTTGTCTCTCATGACAGTTTTTGACTTAAAACCTATTTTGTCTGATACAAGTATGACTACTCCTGTTCTTTTTTGGTTACCATTTACGTGGAATTATCTTTCTCTATGGTCTGACTTTCAGCCTATATGTGTCCTAACATCTAAAGTGAGTCTCTTGAAGACAAGATATACGTTGGATCTTGTTTTTGTTTTTGTTTTTTATCCATTCAGCCACTCGGTATCTTTTGATTGATGGGTTTAATCCACTTACATTTAAAATAATTACTGATAGGGAAGGACTTATCACTGCCAGTTTGTTTTTTTCTCTGTGTTGCAGTTTTGTTCTTCTTTTCCTCTCTTGCTGCCTTCTTTTGTATTTCACTGATTTTTTTTTTTTGTAATGACATTATTTTCTTTTTGTTGTTGGTATTTTCTTTGTAGTTACCGTAGGAAATTGCATAAAAATCATAAAAATAGTTGTAACAACCTATTTTAAGATGATAATGTCAATCATATACAAAAACTCTACTTCATCTTCCCCTACCCCTGCTTTTTGTTATTTATCTCATGAATTATATCTTTTGGATATTTTGTATCCATTAGCATGGTTTTATAGTAATAGGTTTTTTTTTAGTATTTTTATTTTTGAGACAGGGTCTCACCCTGTGGCCCAGGCTAGAGTACAGTGGCGTGAACACAGCTCACTTCAGCCTTGATCTCCTGGGCTCAGGTGATCCTCCCGCCTCAGCCTCCCAGGTAGCTGGGACTACAGGCACACACCATCATACTTGGCTAATTTTTGTTATTTCTAGTAGAGACAGGGTTTTACCACATTGCCTAGGTTGGTCTCGAACTTCTGGAATCAAGCGATCCGCCTGCCTTAGCCTCCCAAAGTGCTGGATTACAGGCGTAAGCCACCGTGCCAAGCCTATTTTTAATTTTTATTATTTATATTTATACTTATTGATATTTATAATTTTATTTTATACATTTTATTATTTCTATATTTACATTTTTATATACATTTTATTTATCTATTTATGAGACAGGGTCTCGCTCTGTCACCCAGGTTAGAGTGCAGTGACATGATCATTGCTCACTGCAGCCTCTACTTTCCAGGCTCAAGCAATCCTCCCACATCAGACTACCACGTACCTGAGACCACAGGTGTGTACCACTATGCCCAGCTAATTGTTTTTTTTTTTAAGAGATGTTGTCTCCCTATGTTGCCCAGGCTAGTCTCAAACACCTAAGCCCAAGCAATTCTCCTGCCTTGGCCTCCCAAAGTGCTGAGATTACAGGTGTGAGCCATCACACTTGGCCAGCTTTTATCTTTAAATCCTATACCACAATTAAAAATGATTTATGTGCCACCCATCACAGTATTATGTATATGGCTATATATTCACCTTTGCCAGAGAGCTTTTTATTTTTGTATACTTTTGTGTTGTTGACTAGCATGTTTTCATTTCAACTTAAGGATTCCCTTCAGCATTAGTTGTAAGGCAGGTCCAGGAGTGATGAGGTTTTTTGTTGTTGTTTATCTGGGAAGCTCTTTCTTTCTCTTTTTTTTTTTTTTTCTTGAGATAGAGTTTTGCTATTGTCACCCAGGCTGAAGTGCAGTGGTGCAATCTCAGATCACTGCAACCTCTGCCTCCCTGGGTTCAAGCAATTCTCCTGCCTCAGCCTCCCAAGTATCTGGGATTACAGGTACCTGCCACCATGCCCAGCTAATTTTTGTATTTTTAGTAGAGACAGGGTTTCACCACGTTGGCCAGGCTGGTCTTGAACTCCTGACCTCAGGAGATCTGCCCGCCTCGGCCTCCCAAAGTGCTGGGGTCACAGATGTGAGCCACCATGCCCAGCTTCTCCTTAGTTTTTGAAGCACAGGTTTGCAAGAGATAGTATTCTTGGTTGACAGGTTTTTTTTTTTCTTTTTCCTTTTTTTTTTTTTTTTTTTTGAGACAGAGTCTCGCTCTTTCGCCCAGGCTGGACTGCAGTGGTGCAATCGTGGCTCACTGCTACCTCCGCCTCCCGGGTTCACGCCATTCTCCTGCCTCAGCCTCCCAAGTAGCTGGGACTATAGGCGCCCGCCACCACGCCCGGCTAATTTTTTGTATTTTTAGTAGAGACGGTTTTTCACCATGTTAGCCAGGATGGTCTCGATGTCCTGACATCGTGATCCGCCCCCCTCAGCCTCCCAAAGTGCTGGGATTACAGGCGTGAGCCACCACACCTGACCAACAGGTTTTTTTTTTCTTTCCCCTTTCAGCACTTTGAATATATCAAGCACTCCCTTCTGGCCTGTAATGTTTCTGCTGAGAAGCCACCAATAGTCTTCTGGGAACTCCCTTGCATGTGATAAGTTGCTTTTTCTTTGCAGCTTTCAGTATTCTTTGTCTTTGACTTTTGATGGTTTGATTATAACGTGTCTCTGTGTGGTCCTCTTTGGGTTCATCCAAATTGGAGTCCTCTGAGCTTCTTGAATTTGGATGTCCATTTCCTTCCTCAGATCTGGGATGTTTTTGGCCATTATTTCTTCAAATAAGCTCTTTGCACCTTGCTCTGCCTCTCTTCTCCTTCTGACATTCCCATAAGGCATATATTGACCCACTTGATAGTATCCTGTAAGTCCTCTAGATTTTCTTCACTTTTCTTTTCTTTTTGCTCTTCTGATTTCATAATTTCAAATAACTGGTCTTCAAATTTGCTGATTCTTTCTTCTGTGTGATCAAGTCTAATGTTGAACCACTCTAGTGAGTTGTTTCAATTCAATTATTGTGCTCTCCAGCTCCAAATTTTGGTTCTTAGTTTCTCTTTATGATATTATTTTATTCATGTATTGTTTTCCTGATTTCATCAGTTTTTTTTTGTTTTGTTTTGTTTTTTCAGAGACAGGGTCTCACTATGTTGCCCAGGCTGGTCTCAAACTCCTGGGCTCAAATAATCCTCCCACCTCAGCATCCCAAACTGCTGGGATTACAGGCCTGTAATTTGTAATTTGTAATTTGTAATTACAAATTACAGGCCTGTAATCTGTAATCTGTAAACTTTGCCCAGCCTAGTTGTTTTTCTGTGTTTTGTAGCTCATTGAGCCTCTTTAAGATTATTACTTTGAATTCTTTGTTAGGTAACTCACAGATCTGTTTCTTTAGGGCTGGTTTCTGCAGTAGTTTGTTCTTATGGTTGAGCAATATTGCCTTTTTAATTTTTGGTGGAATTTGGGCATTTGAAAAAACAGTCAGGCCTCTCCCAATCTTTACAGACTGGCACCATACAGGGGAAGATCTTTCCCAATCAGCCCAGCTAGAGATTCTGGGGCCTGTCAAATCTTTCCAGGAATGTGTCTTCTCTGGGCTTGAGTTTGGAATTTCCCAATTAAAGAGTTTTGCCTGTTTCTATTGCAGGGGCTGATAATCTTTTCCTCACTTTGGTATCTATCTGCAGTACTGCAGGTTCTCTGTACTGCAACAAGCCACTGAGTGATCCTTTGTTTTCATCCAAAATATGTTGGTTCCTCATCAGTGCTCCAAGTCATGTGAGACAGAAACCAATCCCTCAGGCAGCCCCCAAAAAGGCAGAACAGTGGACAAACATTCCATTTTTCTTTTTCCCTCCAAAGGAGAAGCCACAAATTAGGCATTTTCTCCTGATCACCTGAGGCTGGCTTGAGGAAAGGGATATCTTAGGTGAACTGCAATGGCTTTTCTTACCCCTGTAAATGCAGCTGTTCTTGGATTTGTACCTCTCCAGGGCACTACAATTTCTTAAGTGCTTGCTGGAGGTTTCATAAAGGCTTTTTGGACCATATATTGTTGTTAAGTTAGTGTCTCGAGGTTACAGAGTCTGGAGCTTCCTATTTCTTCATCTTACTGATACCAATCTGAGACAGATGTCAATTTTTATTGCTATTAGATGTGAGTGCATTCCTTTCCTACGATACACCCACTCTTTCTAGTTTGCTATTTCAAATCTGCAGACTTGAGAAACCAGATAACTTGGCTTTTTAAGAAGGTTATGACTTATACACATAAATGGTTTATAAAAACAAAACAGTGTTCATTCAGGGTACAACTTTAAACTACAAAAACAAAACAAAAAAGAACAGAACTGAGAAACTAAGGATGAAGATTTCAGACCACTATTTCCAGAGGTTCACTTACTGTTGGTGCTGGATGTGTTTCCTTGGCGCAAGATTAACAAAGTCAGACTTCTGAATACATAAGGTATACTTTCGTTGCTATATGACAGCCTTATATTTGTTCTGTATTTCTGTAAAAACCAGTGTCTTAAAGCTCTGGATTTTGCTTCTAAGCAACATAAGTCACTCTCTATTTAAGCCTTCTCTCCTGGTTGAAAGAGCATTTTCTCTTAGTGCCTGATCCTTCCAAATATAAAATGCCACCTGCAAGTTTCATATATTGTTTTCTCCCAGTCATATTGAGTACCACCAATAGGTTTATGCATCCTTATCAGTAAGCCAGTCAGTAAATTCACTGAGAAGCCTGCCTCCTTGGACATGTGCTGTATCTATAAACATGTTCAATTCAAATTTGGTCCCACCATCTAGGAATTAATCTAACTTCAGAGAAAAACTAAGAAGTAGAGTGAGGAGGTGACATATGCTCCCAGAGTGACCTGGAGTTGCAGAATTCAGAAGCCTAATTATAGGTACCTGCTTCACACACATTTCCTATTTAAGTGTCTGAAGCCATATTGTAGAAAGATATCAGAATCAAGACTGGACTGACAGCTTTTCTGCAAATCAATATTCCTGGTTTCAAGGAAGTCACTGGCACAGGGCCTGTGAAGTCCCGGGTAGCTTCCTGTAAGGGAGCATTCCACTATTACCTCAGCCCCAAAAGAAAGAACTGATTCCATTTGCATTCCTTGCCAATAGATAAGGAATGGCTAGACATTAGCAACTGTGGAGGGCAAGCTGGTGGTCATGATGACTGAGTGAATGGATGAATAAATGATCATTTAATCAATCCATCCACTAAAAGGTAATCACTACTAATCCATGCTTTATTATGTAACCACAGCCAGGGGACCCTGGTATAGATTTTCCTGTCCTTTTAGACCAGGAGTCATTGACTCTGGGTTGGAAAAGATAGGATGACAATCCACCAGCCAAACTTACCCTCCAATATAAAAAAAATTTAAGACATTTGAATTCTCAGCAGTGAGATTCTTGTCCATCTTCCTGAATTTGGATACTCGGCTTACCTCAAATTATATAATAGTTTGCAGAAGAAGGTTGCATGGGCACAAGCCTCGATCATCAGTCCCCGAGAACGGCCCTGCAAATACAGCCAGATACGATCTTCCTCTGGAACCCCATACTCAAACTGCAGGGACTCAAGGTCCTGGAGCATGTCCATTTCCAAGCCACTATTTCCTGCAGTGATAGACACTAATCAATTTGGCTCCCTGTCCCGGTAGAAGAGGGGTCTATGTAGGAGGTGTGTGTATGATGGTGTGTGTGCCCAGGTCACAAGCACTCATGATGATGGGCTTCAGCACCTCTCTACTCCCAGATTCTGAATTTGGAATTCACCTCTCTTGAATTCACACTCTAGAGTGTGAGTGTTTGAGGATTCCTAATCACTGGCTGCCCATGAATCCTGGACTCATGAAAAACCTGTACAGAAACCCAAAGTATTGTTTCTCCACACAGGTTACAGGCACTGTTTTCGGCAGATGAATTTACAACAGCAATTGAGTTTTACAGGTATTCTTGGGCCAGGACGTTTTCCCTTCCATTCCCTCCTGCGTTTTGGAAATAGGACTGAACACATAGAACCACATTTCAAAGAAATGCTTCCCTTTCACTAAACTCTGTTCTCCACAGGGTACAAAATAACCCAAACTAAATATCATTGTCCCCTGTCTAGGGCAGGGACATCTAGATTTTACAAACTAAACTCAAAGTCATATAAACCCATCTACATATATCTATCACCAAACAGAGAAGATTGGCTCTGCTCCTCAGTACTTCTGATCCTGGAAGGTAAGAACTACATTTCTAAGGAGAATTACCAAGAAACTTGTGATTATGACTCCTTAACTACCAGATTACAGTCTCTAAGTCTTAAAGAGGCCAGCCCCACTTAGAGGTTTTCCTGAGCTGCGTATCAGGACATGAGTTCCTTCCACTATTTCTAGGAGTACTACACTAGAGCAGTATGAGACCCTCCTTTTCCCAACAGAAGATTCTGGATTTCTAGGGGTTTTTTTTGCAGACTAGAATATCTTACAGATCTTAGCACTACTTGAGTTAGTTTACAACTCCTTCTTTTTGTGTTCAAGAAACCAATAAAATTTTTTCAGGTGAAATCCACATAACATAAAATTAGCCATTTTAAAGTGAACAATTCATCAGTACATTCAGAATGTTGTGCCACCACCTCTATCTTGTTGCAAAATACTTTCATATTCCCAAAAGGAACGCCTACACCCATTAAGCAGTTACTCCCTATCCCTCCCCACCCTCAGCCTCTGGAACCACCAATCTGCTTTCTGTCTGAATGGATTTACCTATTCCAGATATTTTATATAAATGGAATCATACAATATGTGACCTTTTGTGTCTGGCTTCTCTAATCCCTTTTATAGGAAGGCTGTTATATGACGACACCATCTCTTTAAAAGCAAAGTCTCACCCTGGCGTGGTGGCTCACGCCTGTAATCGCAGCACTTTGGGAGGCCGAGGCAGGCGGATCGCTTGAGGTCAGGAGTTTGACCAGCCTGACTAACACGGTGAAACCCCATCTCTACTAAAAAGCTGGGCATGGTGGCAGCTACTTATTAGCTGGGTGTGGTGGCACGTCTGTAATCTCAGCTACTCAGGAGGCTGAGGCAGGAGAATTGCTTGAACCTGGGAGATGGACGTTGGTTGCAGTGAGCTGAGATTGCGCCATTGTACTCCAGCCTGGGCGGCAGAGGGAGACTCCATCTCAAAAAAATAAAAAATAAAATAAAGTAAAAGCAAAGTCTCTGCACTTGAAATGAGGGGCATGGACGTTCTCATCAAACCTAAGAAACATTTTCTTACACCAAAACAGTCAGTAGGTCATCCTAATGTTGCCAAGTAATGCTTCCTGCTCCGAAGGAAAAAGAAGCTCAAAACCTAGATTAGCATGACCAATGCAGCATACAAGTTGTACAGACATGAATTCTAGGCCTATCCTTTACTTATGCATTCTCAAAAGTGGGGATCAGTTGTTATATTTTGTATTATGTCACCTTGGCTAGGCTGAACTGCAATTTCCAGAATGTCCTTCCCTGTATGTTTCCAGTTAAGGTGGACCACCAGAGATATTTCTATGCAAGATCAGGAGGGTGGAAATGAACAGTAACCAGTCTGTGTTTCAGTGTGCATAATCAGGGGAAGTACTTTTGTAGTTCACACATGTTGTTGTTTATCTGCTGAGTACCTTGTTGGTGAGGGGCAACAGTTGGGCCTGTAACTGCTACATCTTCCCTGGTTCCTTCTTCAGTTGCTCACTCCTGGGCCAGGTGTTTTTCATTTCCATGACAAAGGCCACTAGCTTTTCCAGCAGCGGGACACCCACCTCATCAAGGTTTGAGGCTGTGAGAACTGACATGGGTCCCAGTCCCTTCTCATGGTTTCTAGCTTGTCCCTGCTCACTCACTTTATAATGATCTTCCCTTCTTCACGGCCTTCCCTATGGATTTCAAGCTCTACCACTGGACATGAAGACAACTACGTTAAACACACCCTCCAGCTGCCATACTTGAGTGGAAGTACTCAAACAGAAAAGACAGGCTCTACTCCTCGGTACTTCTCATCCAATTTCTCTAAACAGGTCAGAGAAAGGTCAAAATTCTCTAACAAACAGCAGATATAGATTAGATTAGATTAGATTAGATAATGCATATATATGCCTAGTGGTTCTGCTTCTCTAAATGAACCCTAACCAATATACTAGTTAATAAAGTAACCACTGTTTGTTTGAAGATGAACCAATAATTTTAGTACAATCTAGCAAATTAAACTCTTGTTTCTTCAATAGCAAGAAGGATGATCAAGAAAGGAACTAAATATGAGGTTACCTGGAATTGCAAAGTGGAGGAGCAAAAGATGGAGTCTGATCCCCTTAAAGCAGTTTCTCAACACTGGTGTTGCTAACATGTGGGCAGGATAATCCTTTGTTGTGGGGCTGTCCTGTGGATTGTAGGGCGTTTAGCAGCGTCCCTGACCTCTACCCACTGGATGCCAGTAGCACGCCTAGTGTGGCAACAGAAAGCAACTTCGAACATTGCCAAATGTCTCTTGAGGGGCAAAACTGCCTCCAGTTGAGAGCCATATTGCCTTAAGGCATGGCATGTGCCTCTGTAGGAGCATCTTCTCTTTGCCTTCTATGACTTCACCCACTCCACAGTCACAGGAGCACAGAACTCTACAAAATGTTAGCTGGGTGTGGTGGCACGTGCCTGTAGTCCCAGCTACTCAGGAGGCTGAAGCAGGAAGATTGCTTGAGTCTGGGATGTCAAGGCTGCAGTGAGCCATGACGGTGCCGCTGCACTCCAGCCTGGGTGACAGACCATGTCTATTTAAAAAAACAGGCCGGGTGCGGTGGCTCATGCCTATAATCCCAGCACTTTGGGAGGCCAAGGCAGGCGGATCAACTGAGGTCAGGAGTTTGAGACCAGCCTGGCCAACATGGCGAAACCCTGTCTCTACTAAAAATACAAAAATTAGCTGGGCGTGGTGGCAGGTGCCTGTAATCCCAGCTACTTGGGAGGCTGAGGCAGGAGAATCATCTGAACCTGGGAGGTGGAGGTTGCAGTGAGCTGAGAGCGCCACTGCACTCCAGCCTGGGCGACAGAGCGAGACACCATCTCACAAACAAACAAACTCTACAAAATTTTAGATTATCTAATGAATCCAGAGAAAGAAAGGGACTCACCCAGCATCACATAACTATTTAGTGGTAGAGCTGGAAAAAGTCAGGTCTTGTGTCTCCCAGCACCGTGCTGTTTCTGTTAACCACACAGCCCTGCTTTGCCATAGCACTGTTACTCTATAACCTGACATGTGCCGACAGGCTGCTAAATGCAGTCACTGAGGAAGACTTGTAATGATCCTAAGATCCTGAGCAATTATTTCATCATTCTACACAAAACCACCAGGAGCGGGAGAGAAGGCACCAAGGAAGAAATACCTTTATTAGGAGTCTAGGCATGTCAGAAAAACCCAGTTCAGTCACAGAAAAGGAGGCAAATATTGGTACAGAGCAAGAATCCAAGTGTGAAAATAAAACCTCCATCTAAATATCCTAACAGAAATGCTGCTGAATTTAGCCCAGGTGAAACTTCTGAAAGCTCCTGGTGAAATGAGATTTTTGCATAAAGAGAGAGCTCTCCAGCACTGCTGCATCTGAGCTTCTTATAAAGTGACGGGTCTTGGCCAGCAGTAGAGGAAGAGATAAAGGGGATGTCTCATCACCCAAGCAAGGTCGTCTGTGTTCAAGTGAGAGAAGAACCTTAGGGTTTTGGACAGAGTAAACTGGGGCAGCAGAGGGAAAATGGCTGAGGAAACACAACGTCTAGGCCATGTGTGGCATAATGTGGAGGGGTCTGTGCAGTCTGGTGTGAGTGCATCTCCAGGAGGTCTTGGGAAACACTGGCATTCCTTCCTGAGGCCATTTTGGTTCTGTTCTGACTTCATTCAGAGCAGAACTGCCAATGTCCAGCGCCAAGTCCTGGATCATAATTAGCTGAGTGGAATGCAGTAGCCACCCTATGACTCCCATACCTCTTCCTTTCTGGAGCAGTCACTTTTCTCAGACCAAGTGAGATCTTACCCAGTAGGGGCCCAATCTAGAAATCACTCCCACCTTCATATGAGCACCAGGTGGAGAGAATCATTCTCATGACTCAAAGCTTTAGATCTCGATCCTCAGATGATGTTCCTTGGACAGAAGATCAGTCTGAAGTTATCTGTGTCAAGAGTAGCTGGCACTGCCCATGGGTAATGGGCCCAAGCGATGTGATGCCGCAGCTCTCCCAAAGAAGAGCTCTCTCTGCTTTCACAGGCAGGAGAGGAGGAAATGAGGCAGGCTTCAAGGTAGTCAATGCCACTTAATTCTTCCATCGAATTTGCTGTGGAAAGAGGAAACAATGAAAGTGTGTGATCAGTTTTCACTTATCCCTACAGCAAGGCAGAGAAAATGCAACAAAACAAGGCTCAGCTAGATAATGTAAGGAAAAGAAAAAGTAGAATCAGATCAGGAGGTGGGGGATGTTGAGAAATTTTTTAAAATATATGGGGGAGTTCATTTATTCAAAGATGCATTAAACACCTATTTTGTATTTTACAAGCCTAATTTTGGTCATTTGACCCTAAGGTAGGTTCCAAAATACCTAACAGGGAACTAACTTTCATATTAACAAAGAGCTCAGTAATTTCCTGCTGTGAGAGACGAACCAGCTGTGCTCCCCAGGTAGCTAACATCTATTTCACCCACTTCTTATTTTCAACTGGTAGGTCCCATCCATCCCCACGAGACCATACAGTTTGGATATTCTGAATCTGTAACATGTTTTCATACTTTCAATATTTAGTTTCTCCTACATGCTAGGTTTAACTATTATCACAGCATTACAGTTAAGTCTTAGCTTGAGGTCCCCAGATTACCCCCCTATCATACCGCATCTCAGGAGTAATTTCTGCTATTCAAAGCAGTGCTTTTGACATTGTGGCCAGAGGAGAGCCTTACATCCATGTGGCTTAGCCAACTGCAATCCTTCCAGACCTTGGGAACATACATTTGGTACTATTTTGTGAACTGTCTGTCTCCTGAGCCTGCTGGAGGGGTGAACTGTAGCTGCTCACCGAGCTGCTGAGAAGAGCATCAATCTTCTCCTCCTCTGCTGATCCTTTATCTACCTTACTCCTGTATGCTAGCAACTGTTGACGATCCTTCAGGTCCCGGTAGGTCTGTGCATCAAAACAAACAATACAAACCTCCAATCAGCCTCTGTACAGGGTTCTTTTTGCCCAGGATGGTCTCAAACTCCTGGGCTCAAGCAATCCTCTCTCCTTAGGCTCCTGAGTAGCTGGAACTACTGGTGTGTGCTACTGTGTACACATGAGGGCTTATTTCTTTTTGTCATTATCACTTTGACCCAACGCTCAAGGAGAGGCTAAGAGGCTATAGTGGGATAACAGTGGGGTCCAGTGCCCACAGAACTCCATGTTGGAGAGAAGACTACACAGCTTGTATAGCTTGATTTAGTTCTATGAATTCTCCAAGTACGACAAGTTTATAAAAACACAGAGAAAGCAGTCAGAGGGCTGGGAAAATAATACAGGAGTGCTGGTCTCCAAACAAACTCTTGCCAGATTATTCTGTCCATTCAGTCAAACCTGGTGGGAGCACCTCAGGATCTTGGACAGAGAATATTATAATCCCCACCCTGCTTCGCCACTGAGGATCTAACGGAGGACTCCCATTTCTTGGGGACTCACATCAATGACGACATCATGGCACTTGAACTTAGTGGCTAAGTTCAACTTCGTGTCCACATCTTCCACCAGATTGACATACTCCTGTAATATCTGTGGGAAGAGGTACTTCCGATTAATGATTCAAACACCCATAAGGCACAGAGCTCTACAAGGTAGAAAAGAAAGTCCTGAAGAAGGCAAAAGAGTTCAATAGCTAATGTTTCCAGTTTCCATCATCAACCACAGGACTAGTTCTGCAATGGGAATGAGGTAACGCTACACAGTACTTCCATGCTGCCTCAGTAAGCAGGAAAGAGCACACTTCTCCTGATCCTCGAGCCAGATACACATGCCAGCAATGAGTGCTCTAGCTGTGATCCAGTGCTCTGCTCATTTCTCCCTGATGTCTTTTCTCCACGAGTTCTCCTTTTCTATCATTTGAACAGTACATCAGTATTCCACTTGGGCTAACACAGTAGATGCTACTCAGAGAGGACAGTTTGGAATTGTTTCTAAAGGGGAGAAAGGGAGAGAATTTCACTCCCTGGCCTTTTCTGTCTTGAGGCCTATTGCAGCCATTGTGCTGCCTTTAAGGGAAAACAAGAGCAGATCGGGTCTCCCATCACTGACCAGTAAGAGGCTTAAAGTTAGGTCTCCAAGAATATCCTGTACCCAACTCTCTTCAGGACCCATTACCTGCACAGGGGCATTGTTCTTGTGCAAAATTTCGACAACCCGATGGAAGCCAATGGGTGCTCTCTTCTTGGTATAGCCCAGCCAGTTCTGAAAGAGGAAGATGGGGTAGCGGCAGGTAGGCCAGGCACACTCAACACATTCTAGGTTAGTCTATGTTTTACGATCAGACCAGAATAATGTGGTGGGTGAGTGGGGGTGCTGAGGGATACAGAAATAATGAGAAATGAATTTTTCAGAAAAATCAAGGGATTTGAGAGAGTGGAAATGAATCAGGTTTGAAATAACTTCTTAGATCTATAGAAACGAATGCAGGGAAAAGTCTTGAAATACTACTAAATGGGATAAGTAACTTACTTAATATTTGTAGTATGAACTTATCAATGTAGAAAATAATTCCATCTTCCATATCTTTGTAAGTACAGATGTTTATTTGCAAATTCATGAGGGAAGGTCTGGAAAGCTACCCATTAAACTTTTAACAGTGTTTGCCTTGAGAAAGGGGGTGAGATAGGAGTAGGTAGAAAATGAAAAAGGAACTTCACTCTTTCTATACTTTAATACAGTGTTTGATTTTGACAACAGACACATATTGCTTTGTTAATATAACTAATTAAATAATTAACAAATAGGAAAAACAGAAAATTTTTAAACCCATAATGGAAAAACAGATATTTAAAACGTAAACTAATTCATATTGAACCGCCAAAGATCCCACATAGCCAAAGCAATCAATGTTAAAGAAAAACAAAATGGAGGCCAGGTGCGGTGGCTCATGTCTGTAATCCCAGCACTTTTGGAGGCCGAGGTGGGCGGATCACTTGAGGCCAGGAGTTCGAGACCAGCCTGGCCAACATGGTGAAACCCCATCTTTACTAAAAATACAAAAATTAGCCGGGCAGGGTGGCGCATGCCTTTAATCCCAGCTACTCGGGAGGTTGAGGCAGGAGATTCAGTGGAACCCTGGAGGCAGAGGTTGCAGTGAGCTGAGATTGCACCACTGCACTCCAGCCTGGGTGACAGAGCAAGACTCTGTCTCAAAAAAGAAAAAAAAAAAAAAAGGGGGGGTAGGGGTAGGAGGCAACATGCTTCATGATTTCAAATTATATTACAAAGTTACATATATTAATCAAAACAGTACGGGGCTGGCATAAAAACAAACACATAGACCAGTGGAATAGAATAGAGAGCCTAGAAATAAACCCAAGCATATATGGTCAGCTAATTTTCAACAAAAGCACCAAGAGGACCCAATGGGGAAAGGATAGTCTCTTCAATGAGTGGTGCTGGGAAAACTGGATTTCCACATGCAAAAGAATGAAATTAGACCTTTATCTTACACCATACACAAAAATCAACTCAAAATGGATAATATACCTAAGCATAAGACCTGAAGCCATAAAACTCATAGAAGAAAACATGGGAAAAAGCTCCTTGACATTGGCCTTGGCAATGATTTTTTTGGATATCACACCAAAGGCTCAGGCTACAAAAGCAAAAATAAATGGGATTACATCAAACTAAAAAGCTGCGCATGGCAAAGGAAACAATCAAAATGAAAGGCAGCCTATGGATTAGAATATTTGTAAACCACATATCTGATAAGGGATTAGTATCTAAAACATATAAAGAACTCACACAATGCAATAGCAGAAACAAAAATTGCCAGATTTAAAAATGGGCAAAAGACTTGAATGGACATTTCTCCAAAGAAGACATGGAAATGGCCAAGAAGTACATGAAAAGGTGATCAGTATCACTAAACATCAGGGAAATGCAAATCAAAACTATAATAAGATATCACCTCACACCTGTTAAGATGACTGTTATCAAAAAGACAAATGATGTGTTAGCAAGGGTGTGGGGAAAGGGAACTCTTGTACCCTGTCGGTGGGAATGTAGATTGGTGTAGCCAATGTGGAAAACAGGCTGCAGTGAGCTACGGTCATGCCACTGCACTTCAGCCTGGGTGACAGAGTGAGACCCTCTCTCAAAAAAGTAAAAATAAAAATAAAAATAGAACTATCATATGACCCAGTAATCAATCTTTCTTTTGGGTATATGCCCAAAATAAATGAAATCATCACCTCATAAAGATACTTGCATTTCCACATTCATTGTAACACTATTCATGAGATGTTAACTATTCATGAAATGTAACTATTATAAATTATTGCTGAGAATTTAAATATCTGTAACTTACAAAAATAATAAACAAATAAATAATTCCCTCTCCCTAAAAAATAGCCAAGATAAGGAAACAACTTAAGTGTCCATTGACAAACAAATGGATACAGAAACTATGGAACTATGGTATATATATACATACATGCTGGAATATTAGCTTTAGAGATCTAATTACAAGATGAGGACTGTAGTTAATAGTACTGTACTGTAATCAGGAGTTTTGCTAAATGAGTAGATTTTAGCTGTTTTTGCCACAAAAAAATAATTTGAGATGATAGATATGTTAATTTGCTTCACTGTAGTAACCATTTTACTCTCTACATGTATCTCATAACATCTTATCGTATAACTTAAGTATATACAATATATAATAACATTTATCTTAAAAAAAGAAGAAAGATAACAAGTGTTGGCAAGGGTATAGAGAAAAGGGACCCTGGTACACTGTTGTCGGTGGGAATGTAAATTAGTGCAGCCATCATGAAAAACAGTATAGGCGTTCCTCAAAAATGTTTAAACAGAACTACTATATGATCCAGCAATCCCACTATTGCATATAAATCCAAAGGAAATGCAATCAGCATCTCACAGAGACATCTACACTCCCATGTTTATTGTGGCATTATTCACAAGAGCCAAGATATGGAAACAACCTAAGTGTCCATTGATGGATGAGTGGATAAAGAAATTGTGGTACATATATACAATGGAATATATTCAGAACTTAAAAAATAAGGAGATCCTGACATGTGACAGCATGGATGAACCTGGAGGACATTATGCTAAGTGAAATAAGCCAGACAGAAAGGAAAATAACCTCATGATCTCACTCATGTAGGATCTAAAAAAGTCAAACACATAGAAAGTAGTTTCCAGAGGGGGAAAAAAGTAGGTCAAAGGATACAAAGTTGTAGTTATGCAGGATGAATAAATCTAGAAATCTAATGTACAGCATGAGGAATACAGTTAATAATAGTGTAGTGTATACTGGAAATTTGCTAAGAGAGTGAATTTTAGGGGTTCTTACCACACTCACAAAAAATGGCTAACTGTGAGATGATGGGTTAATTGGCATGACTGTATAATCATTTCACTATGTATATGTAGATCAAAACATTATGTTGTACCTTAAATATATACAATAAAAATTAATTTAAAAAAAGGTAAATCAGTAAAGACATGACAACCAAACTCAATCCAAGGTCTTTGATTGGATCCTGATAGAAAAAAATACAGAAGCAAACCAAAAGTAGCTATAAATAACTAATTTAAATATGGACCATGATTAAATATGTATTATTATATTAATGTTAAATTTTTTTAGTGATAATTATATTGTGCTTCTTTTTTTTTGAGACAGGGTTTTGCTCTTGTTGCCCAGGCTGGAGTGCAATGGTGCAATCTTGGCTCACTGCAACCTCCGCCTCCTGGATTCAAGCAATTCTCTCGCCTCAGCCTCCTGAGTAGCTGGGATTACAGGTGCACACCACCACACCCAGCTAATTTTTGTATTTTCAGTAGAGACGGGGTTTCACCATGTTGGCCAGGATGGTCTCAAACTCCTGACCTCAGGTGATCCACCCGCCTCGGCCTCCCAAAGTGCTGGGATTATAGGCGTGAGCCACCGCGCCCAGCCCAATATTGTGCTTACGTAGTATTAAAGGAGAGGTGTTAAGATGTCTACAACTTACTTTCAAATGATTCAGAAAAGAAAAACACATAGGTATAGAAAAAGAGAAAGCATACATGGCAAAATTGTTAATAAATTAGTGATGTGGATAAAGACTATTATACTATTATAGTATATATTTGATTATTATATGAACTATAAAATTCATTCTTTCAACTTTTCTTTAGGTTTGAAATTTTGGAAAATAAAAAGTTGGAGGAAAAATGTAAACCGGTAACTAGAACTTATAACATGATAGAACCCTTCTGTCTCCCAAGGCCTCAGCAGCACAGGGGCAGGGCACACACCTTTGTGGTGAATAGGGCATCTACATCATTCCAGGCTCGAAGCTTGGCACGAGCAGCCAGGGCTGTCAGCACATACTGTTTATCTGGGATCTGGAAAGCAGAGACCGAGAAAAATTAAGGGGAAGTAGAAATACATCAATGGGGGTGCTTAAGAATTTTAGAAAAGACAGACATTAAATATTTCCTGATATTGACTCTGCCCCTTAAAAATCAAAAAATTTCTCAGTTCAAGAACTTCTTAATTCCCAAGCCCCAGCACTGCTATAGGCCATTCAGTCTTCTCTCACTTTCCCAAACTCATTCCTTTCCACCTTTAACCTTGAATATCAAAGGACACACTGTACAGGGTTACAAAGCAACATCCACTCCATGTAGTTACCCTGATCACTAGTTTCATAACACTGACCAATTTGTATCTACCTTAAATGTCTTCTTCAGGTTGACGGGACTGCTGAATGTCCCCTAGGATGAAAGTGAAAAAGGAACTTTAGTGATATTGACTTTCCCAAGTACCACCCAAGCTCTCATTTTCTTTCCCACTACAGAGACTTTCTACATCTTACTCTGCTGCCATTTAAACATAGAAATTAATTTCAGGGAAAAGCTCCATTGGGAATAGTCAGATACCACTATAAGCTGGCTTATCAAGAACTGGAGTAATAAGTATGGTGCCTTTTCCCATTTTCTGCTAATCCAAATAAGGAGAAAATGTCTGCCTGTTATCATGGAATCCATACTTCTTTGAAAAATTTAGAAAGAAAAAAAGAGTAGCCAGGCGCGGTGGCTCTCACCTATAATCCCAGCACTTTGGGAGGCTGAGGCAGGTGGATCACGAGGTCAGGAGTTCAACACCAGCCTGGCCAACATGGTGAAACCCTGTCTCTACTAAAAATACAAAAAAAAAAAAATTAGCGGGGAGTGGTGGCGCACACCTGTGATCCCAGCTACTCAGGAGGCTGAGGCAGGAGAATTGCTTGAACCCAGGAGGCGGAGGTTACAGTGAGCCAAGATCGCACCACTGCACTCCAGCCTGGGCGACAGAGCAAGACTCCATCTCAGAGAAAAAAAAAAAAAAAGTATCCATAGCTACTTGCCACCCTACTGCTTTTCTCCACATCATGCTAATCCATTTGATATTGTGGACCTTTGAACAGAGACTTCTACAGGTAACAGCACCAGGGACAGAACTTGCTATGCTAGCATGCCAGCTCACTTGAAGCTACAAACCTTACAAACCTCTTTTCCCTCCTGGCCAGATGAGGCCCTCTTACCCCTGGTGAGGGCCAGGAAAGCTTCCAGGTGGATTTCTGAGAACTATACATACCCATTATTAATAGAGTACATAAAAGTACTGGATTTGAACTATCTTCTTTTTGTGCAATGAGAGTTTGTGGAATCTTCCATATTTTGCCTGTACCTCAGCCTCTGTGTAGTGATAGAAGCAGGAGTAGAAAAGTGTTGTCACTAGTGGCATGTTGAGGATGGAGGCTTTGCGGGGGTGCTTTCGGAAGATCTCAGTCTGTCCTGCTGATTCTAGATGGCGATCATTTGCCTGTGGTGGAGTGAGCCAAGTGAAAAAAAAAAAAAACAATGTCCATGGAGTAGAGGCAGGAGAAAAATCTTTTAATACTACAGCAGTTGTGTTTCCCACCCTAGGAGAGAAACAAAGAACAGAAAAAGAAAGAAATTGCCTAGGATATCCCCAGAGTAGTTTAAAATCCATCAAATGATCATGAATCCACATTGGATGGAAACAAATAGAAGTGGGGAGGACATGGGAGATTCGGGATGAAGAAGAAATACTTCCAGGTTAACAGCTGGTAAGAGGAAAAAGGATCCTAAAAACAATGGAGGAAGGGGGCTATTGTGTACAGGCAGAAAATGAAAGGCTTTTAGAAACCAGTAAGAAATGACCCACGTGCAGAGCATAGAAATCTCCTAGATGCTGAACGGCACTGAGCCTTGGCACTGAAGCAAAAGATATAGAGATGAAGAGTCTAACCTCAATAATGATCTGACGTTCCAGGAGCGTGTAATGGTCCTGTATGTGTGCGGAATCTTCTGCTGAAAATGGCAAACTGGTAGAGTGCCAGAAGGTTAGTACCTTTCTCTATTCAAACAAGGAAACAAACCCAACTAAACCAAATCGCCAGCATAAGTATAAGAGGCTCACGGTGCCTCACAAGTCTGATCTCAGTTCACCTTTAGAGCGTCCCTTAAAGAAAGACATCGCATGAATGGCGTGAATTTCATATTAAAGGTTTTGCCAATTCAAGAGGGATCCTGAGAGTCCACAAAATACTTATAGTCACTCATAATTTTGCTGATAAATGAATTAGAATCCTCTCATTTTGAGAGTTGGAATATTTGGTGAATGAGTCACAAAGCTAATGAGTGAGCCTAGGCAACTGCCCATCATCCACATCCCAGTGAAATTCTGTGGCTTGTGCTTAACTTACTGAGGGGACACCTAGATTTGTTAGCCATTTTTTTATGGCAGAGTACAAAAGGTAAATTAAATTACATGCCATGGTGGTATGTTTATAGATCAGCAAATATCACAAATGTCAAGGGTCCCATCTTCAACACTGCATTATGTTTTTTGTTTGTCTGCTTGTTTTGAGATGGAGTTTCTCTGTGTCACCCAGGCTGGAGTGCAGTGGCATGATCTTGGCTCACTACAACCTCCACCTCCTGAGTTCAAGCAATTCTCCTGCCTCAGCCTCCAGAGTAGCTGGGACTACAGGCGTATGCTGCCACGCCCAGCTTATTTTTGTATTTTTAGTAGAGACAGGGTTTCACCATGTTCGCCAGGACGGTCTTGATCTCCTAACCTCGTGATCCACCTGCCTCAACCTCCCAAGGCGCTGGGATTACAGGCGTGAGCTGCTGCGCCCGGCCACATTATTGTTATACATGAAGATGCTGAGGGACAGCGTCTTGCCAAAAAGTCATGTGGTCAATGGGGAAGGCCAAGAATAGAAGCCAGATTTTAAATGCCCAGTTCACAGATATATCTTTTAGAAAGTGCTGCATTATTCCCCATACTCTGCTCACTCCAGGAAGAATTCTGAGTTTTAATTACACTATTCCAGATAAGTTTTAGCCATAGTGAATTTTTAGAAGAGATAAAGAGAGATGCTATAAATTCTAGTTACTTCACTATTTTAACTTTTCTCCTTGTTTTCCAGAGGCCATATAACATATCTCAGTATTTGGTAACATTAAATGGATTTCACTGATATAATCAAATTTCTAAACATGAAGCCGGGAAATCATGTCACATGAGGAATGGTTGAAACAACCATGAGTACTGAACCTGAAGAAGCAAGGACTACTGGGTAGACTCTACACCTGTCTTGAAAGATACAGGGAAGCAAATTTCAGCTTAACGTAAGGAAGCACTTTCCAATAACGAAGGTTGTTCAAAAACAAACTGAGCTGTTTCAAGAGCAACGGGCATCCTGTCACAGGAATATGTGGAGCTGGGTTTTGCAATAAGTTAAATTCTGGATGAAAGCTTGCCCTGGATCAGTGGTTCTTGGACTTTGGGGTTTCAAGGACCAGTAACACTGAAAAAATGCATCAGGTCCCTAAAGTATTGCTATCTTTTTATTACCTAAGGTCATAAAAAAAGGTACAGCTCATTTTAGTACCAAAGAAGAAGAGAAGAGTGAGGACAAAATCCTACAATAAAAGATAACCTTTCAAATTAAATAAATTTAGCTTTAGGAAAAAAAATCTCTCTACATTTGTCTTTTTTTTTCCTCAGTTTACCATCAAGCAGTGGAAACTCTGCTGGGGACTAGTGTGTGAACACCACTGCATGAGGTGACCCTGAATGATGCTGGTATGATTCATTGTTAGCCCTCCCCTTCCTGCCTATCCATTCCACCCTTTTTAATTTTCTTCATTCCTTCTGGGTAAAGGTATTTATACTTAAAATCATTTTTCCCCCATACTTACCCAACACAGGTTTTAAGAAATTCTTTTCGTTTGTCAGGGTCCTGAATGTTCAAATGCTCTCGATAATGAGATAGCTACAAAAAGCAGAAAAAGGCTTTGAGGTATTTTGTCTCCTTAGATGAGGGAGATAGCTGATTAACTGAACTTCCCATGCTTTAAAAAAACAAATTCTTCATTTCTGGGTATAGATGGTTATTGGAGGCGGGTGGGGGGATAGGCAAAGAGTGACTAAGTATCATTAGTAGGTTTATCTATAACTGCACTGTACGATACAATAGCCACTAGCTACAACTGTTTCTTTAAATTTAAATTAATTAATGTAAAAATTCACCTCCTTAGTTAACACTAACCACTTTTAAAGAACTCAACAGCTACATGTGACTAGGAGCTACTATATTGGACAACACAAATATGGAAAATTTTTTTTTTTTTTTTTTTGAGACGAAGTCTCACTCTTGTTGCCCAGGCTGGAGTGCAATGGCACAATCTCAGCTCATTGCAACCTCTGCCTCCCAGGTTCAAGCGATTCTCCTGCCTCAGCCTCCCAAGTAGCTGGGATTACAGGTGCCCACCACCATGCCTGGCTAATTTTTGTACTTTTAGTAGAGGCAGGGTTTCACTATGATGGCCAGGCTGGTCTCGAACTCCAGACCTCAGGTGACCTGCCCAACTTGGTCTCCCAGTGTGCTGGGATTACAGGCGTGAGCCACCACGCCCGGCCCAAATATGGAATATTTCTATCATTGTAGAAAGTTCTATTGGCCAGTGCTGACCTATAATGAAGCACTGAGTAGATAGAGTACCAAGCTTTACCTTTAAGTTTCACTTTAGCCTCAGTATTTAACCAAAAATGAATATTTTGCTTCAGCTTTAGATTTTGAAAAGTCCAAGAGCTAAATACCTATTTCAGTGTTATTTTTGGCATCCTTGACCATGTACATGATCAATGGTAGTATGATCATGTAAATATCTAACAATTAACATCAGTAATATAAATAGGGCATGTCATTCTGACTCACTGTTCATAAATATTCTCAGATTGAGCCAACAGATGTATACAAAAATGTAAATGTATATAAAAATGTAAATGTAAAAATGTAAATAACATAAGACAGAATAACAGAAATTACATATCATAATCCAATCTTCGTAAAATAGTTCATATAAAATAGTTGGTATACAATCATTCCTAATATTAAAGAAAGTAACCTTTAAGAGCTATAGTTAATTTTTTGTTATTCAATTCCATTTCATCCTTAGGTCTTTCAAGAAAAGTTCTACATGGGAAACCTTCATATTCTGTGGGCATACACTAAAAGTGTACTATCAGCTTTGCCACTTCCAAAGTTTACAAGGTTGAAAAACTCAAAATCTATATACAACAACATGCATGATAAATCATCTTCAATTCGAACATAATGAGTATAAAGAAAATAAAGTTTTAGATAAAAATGAGTTACCCAAAACACATTTATTCTCACTAATGAAAATCAAAACAAAAAACTTTATAAGAATGCTGTAAGAAGAAAAATCCTTATAGTTTTGAACTTACAGAGATTTAAAAATATAAACAAACAGCTTTTCAAATGATTACTACAGGCTGCCAATCATTTTTAGTTGATTAAGAAAATGGATTTTTCAGATTCTCTCATGCTTTGAATATTAAGTACAAGTTCCTTTCAGAAAACATGTTACTGAGCCAGGTGAGGTGGTTCACATCTGTAATCCCAGAACTTTGGGAGGCCAAGGTGGGAGGATAGCTTGAGGCTAGGAGTTCAAGACCAGCCTGGCAAACAAAGTGAGACCCCCGTCTCTACAAAAAGATTTTTAAAAATTAGTCAGGTGTGGTCGTGTGCACCTGTAGTCCCAGCTACTTGGGAGCCTAAGGCTTGAGCCAGGAATTGAGAGTCTGCAGTAAACTATATGATCACGCACCACTGTACTCCAGCCTGTCTCGAAAAAAAAAAACCATGTTTCTGAAAAGCATTTTCAGTATTATATATATAATTATGCTGTTCAAAGGTTAACAATATTTAATGTGCCAACTGAATGTCTGTATGGATATCACAAATGTGTTGTACAATAACTAAAAAAGCAATCCTGCCATCGACAGTGCTGAGAAATTCTTTGAGACAAGGTCTCATTCTTTCACCCAGACATGACCTCCCAGACTTAAGCGATTCTCCTACCTCAGCTTCCCAGGTAGCTGGGACTACAGGCATGCGCCACCATGCTTTGCTAATTTTTTAAATTTTTTTTTAGAGATGGGATCTCACTATGTTGCCCAGGCTGTTCTCTAACTCCTGGACTCTAGTGTTCCTCCCACCTCAGCCTCCCAAGTGCTGGCATTACAGGCATAAGCTACCGTGCTTGGCTGGAAATTCTTATTCCTGCCAAGTTTTTTTTTTTTTTTTTTAACATGAATTGCTGAAGTTTTAATAATACAACTGAGTTTTTGGTAAAATTTCAGATTTATTCTTGTATTCCAGGAGTTCATTCCATGATTGTGAAAATCTGCCAAAATTTAATCTTAACACCTGGCCATTGAATTCTCAGCCAAAACGTGTATTGGGTGTATCATCAACTTGACCTATCTTCCTTCTTGACCTATATCTGGTTTCTTATCCTCTTAGCCTTCAACATTTTCTTTGTGAGAAGCCAAAACCCCAAAACTCCTAACAACCAGGACCTGAAAACAACCGAAAAACAAATTACAAATTGACCAGGCCAATTTTCACATGTTTATTTTTTAAAATTTATTCATAAGCCCAACCAAAAGAGCATATAAAAAGAAAGAATACATCATTTGGATTAAGTTTTCAGGTTTTCCAGGTGCCTCTCTCTTCTGTATATAATCAATATCAAAGGAAATAGTTCAATCAGTCTGGGATCTTGGAGGCGGGGGTTTGGCTTAGATTTCTGGGTTCGTGAGACAGAGTCTCACTCTGTTGCCCAGGCTGGAGTGCAATGGCACGATCTCAGATCACTGCAACCTCCCCATCCCAGGTTCAAGCAATTCTCCTGCCTCAGCCTCCCAAGTAGCTGGGATTACAGGTGCGTGCCACCACACCCAGCTAATTTTGTATTTTTAGTAGAGACAGGGTTTCACCATGTTGGCCAGGCTGGTCTTGAACTCCTGACCTCAGGTGATCCACCCACCTCGGCCTCCCAAAGTGCTGGGATTACAGGCGTGAGCCACTGTGCCCAGCCTAGATTTCTGTTAAACAGGTACCCAACTGAAACAAAGGCCACACTTACCGCAAGCTCTTCTGTTCTATCTAGGAACCTGGGAAGAAGCAGAAGGGAGCAGGGCATTTGTATCTATTGATGTGTGGCAGTATAACCTCACAAAATCGAGTGCCTCCTCTAGGAGAAACACAATTCAAACTCATTTCCCTCTATACACAAGATAAATGGTTGATCAGATATCATTGTTCCCCTGGTCTCTCTGGCTGAACAAAAAGCAAGGACAAGAAGGTACTGCAAGGAACTAATAACTTTGTTAACAGTTCTGACAGGGAGGCTCAGAGCCACCTACTCTAGCCCACAGAAAACTTGGTTGTTGTTTTTTTTTTTCCTAAGATTAAAGCACTATTCTCTGTCAATACAATCTTGAAAACAGATTTTCTATATTGTTCTTTACTGTTTTCATGGACAGAGTACAATGTGTTTTGTCTCCCCCAGACCTTGGAGCACCAGGACTTTTGTCTTCTGATTCTTCTTTACTCTGAATAGACCACCATAATTAACATTACCATTTTGGCATGGAGGTGATGCCTGATAAAGCCCTGTTGGTTGGGAAAGAGTAAGGGAGGGAAGGAAGGAGGGAGGAAGCAGCCAGCCTCTGTGACCATGTCTTCTTTTGCAAATTCCTGGCTAACATCTGTAATCTTGACCCTAACCAGGTAACCTGCTTTTCCCCACCTCAGTCTTTTGGGGAGCTCATTGCTGTGCTGGAGTCACTGGATATCAGTCACCTTGGGCCACATGTCAGTCTAAACAGAGGTTCTAACCCTTTCTCTGACACTGAAGAAAAGACATCATGTGCACATATTTTAATCCAAAGGTGGGAAATAGTCCCCACTGACTGGAATTAGAGGGAAGAAAAACATGATAGAAGACCTCAGCCCTCTTTACCCCCAGCAGACATGCCTACCTCTCACCTATCAGAATCCTACCTAGTTTCATAGGCCCATGCAAATCCTAATCACTTCCATGAGGCTTTCCCTGGGTATCCTGACTGAAAATATTTTCTTCTTCTCTTCTACTGTACTTCCCACTGGTATCACTTAGAATCAAGTAATAAAAGATACCTTTATTCTAGGTCTTTTGTAAGAAAACACTTAATAAATACTAATACTACAAACTAGGTATTATGCTAAGTGCTGGCTCACATACTAGCCCTTCATCTTCATAATAACCCTGTGGGTAGGTGTCATCATCTCCATTTGATCGATGTGAAAAACTCATGAAGAGGGTTGATAACTTGGCCAAGGTCACTCAATGAATGATGTGGGAGACCTATAATAGCATTCAACCCAAGTGCATGTGACTCCAAAGCCTGGTTCTTAACCAACTTGCACCTTATCATAAGCTATGCTGTACTGCTAGTTATCCCCTCACACTTCAATAGCTTGTCTTCCAAGCACTTCCAGGAAAAGGGCAGTTGGCGTCTTCTATTCCTTTGTATCCCTCAGAGTGCTTTGAAACAAGTACTTACTAAACTTTATAGACCAGATGATCAGTTCTTACCTGAAGAGGTCTAAAAGCAACTTTTGATCCCCTATTTCCTTAAGGAAGTGAATAAGATGTCTCAGGGCAACCTGTCGCACCTCCAGCTCTCGGAAGAGGATCTCTGTCAGACAGTCAGGAGTTAAGTTGAGAAAGATTAAAGCCAATTAGTCAAGTGTGAAATTGGTCTCCCTACTCACACATTCCAAATATTATCTCATCAAACCCTAACAAAAGCTAAGAATGGTTTACCCCTATGTCTTAATTCACCATCAACACACTCAGCTCATAGCCATTAAATCAGCTTTTCATTTCACACCAACCCAAACAGCAGGCACTTAGCATGGACTCTGACTTCTTCAAACCAACACAGCCATCTGAGGGGGCTCTGTGGTTAATGTAGTCATCACCCTAAAGGACGCCCTCAGAGATGTGATTTGTGCTCTGAAGTCTCAGGCCACCCCACTTGTCTCTGAAATAGACTTGACTAATGAATTCTGGTATGAAAGGCACATGGCATTCTCCCCTCGAATGTGGCAGACACCTTGCTGACTGAAGATTTCCTGCAAGCCATTCTCACCTTTGCTCAGTGTCCTCTTCAGGAAAATCAGAACCTACAGGAAAAAAGAACAAAGACTGTGCAAACTTTCCAACACAGAGTCATGCCCTGAGCACTACAGACACGGGGCCAGCAACTCATTAGCAATCTCTGAAGGTATAGCCAACAGCTCTGTATGTGATGCAAGGAAAGCCAATGGCTATCTGGAACTGAGCTGTGTCTTGAGAGTCCACACACCCGTGCCCATGCTGCTGAGAGACACCTCCCTCTGAAAGAGGATACGCTCACATCTCTTCTCCCTCAGATTGTTTTATATAACACATAGTAGCCAACCTTGTGTGTCTTGGTTACAATCAACGGTTTCACATAGGCTGGGCATGGTGACTCATGCCCATAATTCCAACACTTTGGGAGGCTAAGGCAGGGAGATTACTTGAGCCCAGGAGTGTGAGATCAGCTTGGGCAACATAGCAAGACCCTGTCTCTACAAAAAAATTTAAAAATTAGCCAGGCAAGGCCAAGCGTGGTAGCTCACGCCTATAATCCCAGCTCTTTGGGAGGCCGAGGCTGGTGGATCACCTGAGGTCAGGAGTTTGAGACCAGCCCAGCCAATGTAGTGAAACCCCATATCTACTAAAAATACAAAAATTAGCTGGGCATGGTGGCCCACGCCTGTAATCCCAACTACTTGGGAGGCTGAGGCAGGAGTATCACACAGTGAGCCAAGATTGTCCTACTGCACACTAGCCTGGGCGACAGAGTGAGACTCCATCTCAAAAAAAAAAAAAAAAAAACTAGCCAGGAATGGTGGTATGCACCTGTGGTCCCAGCTACTCGGGGACCTGAGGTGAGAGGATCACTTAAGCTCAGGAGGTCGAGGCTACAGCGAGCCATCATCACACCACTGCACTTCAACCTGGGCAACAGAGCAAGACCCTGTCTCCAAAAAAAAAAAAAAACAGGGTTCCACGCTTAGTGCATGTGGCACCAGCTAAGCCCTTAAAGCACAGATTACTTAGAATCCTACACCTCCAAGGGGAATCCAGGATCTTTACTTAACATTTAACACAAAATGTTAGTCTATTTGATTGGATTTTCAGAAACTAGTGAAAACAATAATTAAACAAACAACAACAAATCCGACAACTCACTGCAGTAATGACGTTTCCATCATGCATGCTTACTGCCTCTTCTAGGAGTTGTAGTTTGTCCTGTAAGGAGCGGAATCTCTCTAGTGAGCAAACCTGGCAGAATAACACTAGAATTAGTACACAAGAAGACAGTTTTCTTTATTCCTTTGTTGCTGGATACTAAAGAATAAGCAATAATGAAACAAAATGTCCCCAAGGAGAGTCTCTTTATTTTTACCCTATGGTCCCCAGCACTTATAAAACAGTTGGCTCCCACCACCCTCTCTAGTTCAGCCTGCTGCCCTATAAGATGCTAATGTCCTGAAGTCTTGATAAAGTCAACAGAAATCACTTGTTCTTTTTGAGACGGAGTCTTGCTCTGTCACCCAGGCTGGAGTGCAGTGGCTCAATCTCGGCTCACTGCAAGCTCCGCCTCCCAGGTTCACACCATTCTCCTGCCTCAGCGTCCTAAGTAGCTGGGACTAGAGGTGCCCGCCACCATGCCCGGCTAATTTTTTTTTAGTAATTTAATTTTTAGTAGAGACGGGGTTTCACTGTGTTAGCCAGGATGGTCTCGATCTCCTGACCTCGTCATCCACCCACCTCAGCCTCCCAAAGTGCTGGGATTACAGGCATGAGCCACCGCGCCCAGCCAATCACTTGTTCTTTTTTAAGAACCCTTATTCATAATTTGCATACAGTAAAACATACCCTATTTAAGTATATAGTTCAGTGATTTTTTTTTTTTTGAGACGGAGTCTCGCTCTGTCGCCCAGGTTGGAGTGCAGTGGCGCAATCTTGGCTCACTGCAAGCCCCGCTTCCCGGGTTCACACCATTCTCCTGCCTCAGCCTCCCGAGTAGCTGGGACTATGGGCACCTGCCACCACACCCGGCTAATTTTTTTGTATTTTTAGTAGAGACAGGGTTTCACCATGTTAGCCAGGATGGTCTTGATCTCCTGACCCCGTGATCCACCTGCCTCAGCCTCCCAAGGTGCTGGGATTACAGGCGTGAGCCACCATGCCCAGCCAGTATCTCATAGTTTCAACTCACATTTTCTTGATAACTATAATTTTAAGTATCTTTTAAAGTGATTATTGGTCATTCATGTATCTTCTTTTGTGATGTGTCTGGTCAACTCTTGTGCCAATTTTTTTATCAGACTGTACTTATCACTAAGCTAAGAGTTTTGTTGTTGTTGTTGTTTTATCTGAGACAGGGTCTCACTGTATTGCCCAGGCTGGAGTGCAGTGGCATGATCATGGCTCAGTGCAGCCTCGACTTCCTGGGCTCAAGCAATCCTCCCACCTCAAGCCTCCTGAGTAGCTGGGACCATAGGTAAGTGCCATCACACCTGGCTAATTTTTATTTTGTAGAGATGGGGTCTTGCTATATTGCCAGGTTTAATAAAAGTTTTATATATATTCTGGCCAAGTACAGTGGCTCACGCATATAATCCCAGCACTTTGGGAGGCCAAGGCAGGCAGATCACCTGAGGTCAGGAGTTTGAGACCAGTCTGGCCAACATGGTGAAACCTCCTCTCTACTAAAAATACAAAAATTAGCCAGGCATGGTGGCACACACCTGTTAATTCCAGCTACTCAGGAGGCTGAAGCAGGAGAATCACTTGAACCTGGGAGGCGTAGGTTGCAGTGAGCTGAGATCGCACCACTGCACTCCAGCCCGGGCGACAGAAGGAGACTCCATCTCAAAAAAAAAAAAAAAAAGTTTTATATATATTCTGGATGAAAGTCCTTTATAATATACGTGTTTTGAAACTACTTTCTCTGAGCTATGGTGGTCCTTTCATGGCTTTAACAGTGGTTTCTAAAAAAAAAATAAAAGTTTTAAATTTTGATGAAGTCCATTTTATCAATTTTTTCATTTATGGTTCATGCTTTTTGTGTCCTAGGTAATAAATCTTTGCCTAAGTCAAGATCATAAAGATTTTCGTCTATATTTTCTTCTAGAAGTTTTATAGCTTTAACAATTAATTTACATTTAGGTCTATGATCCATTTTATTTATTCATTTTTTCATTCCCAATCCTTAGAACCTGTGAAGTATAATCCATTTTATCTGCTTTTTTTTTAGAGAGAGGGTCTCGCTCTCTCGCCCAGGTTGGAGTGCAGTGATGCAATCACAGCTCACTGCAGCCTCAGCCTCCAGGGCTCAACTGATCTTCCTGCCTCAGCCTCCTGAGTAGCTAGGATTATAGGCACAAGCCACCACACCTGGCATTATGATCCATTTTGATCCATTAATTATTATGATCATTGCCAATTCTACCAAAATTGATCTGTACATTCAAGGCAATCCCAATAAAAATCTCAACAACTCTTTTGTAGACACTGCCAAGGTGCTACTAAAATCGATATGGAAGTATAAAGGATCTAGAACAGCCAAAACAATTTTGGAAGAGAACAACATTGAAGGTTGAAAGCTTCAACAAAGTTGAAGTATCTTGATTTCAACATTTATATAATAATCAAGACTGTAGTATTAGCTTAAGGATAAATAATCCAATGAACTAGAATAAAGAGTCCAGAAATAGGCCTACACATATATGATCATTAATTTTCTTCTTATTTTTTTCTTCTTGAGACAGGGTCTTGCTCTGTTGCCTAAGCTGGAATGGAGTGGCACAATCTCGGCTCATTGCAGCCTCGACCTTCAGGGCTCAAGCAATCCTTCCATCTCAGCCTCTCAAGCAACTGTGACTAAAAACATATCCTGCTATAAGATTATAAGTTACATTTATATATTTATAATTATAAATTATAATATACATTTATATTATAAATTAGCCACACCTGGCTTTTTTTTTTTTAAGATGGAGTTCCGCTCTTGTTGCCCAGGCTGGAGTGCAATTGCACAATCTCGGCCACCAGGTTCAAACGATTCTCTTGCCTCAGCCTCCTGAGAAGCTGTGATTTACAGGCATGTGCCACCACGCCCAGCTAATTTTGTATTTTTAGTAGAGACGGGGTTTCTCCATGTTGGTCAGGCTGGTCTTAAACTCCCAACCTCAGGTGATCTGCCTGTCTTGGCCTTCCAAAGTGCTGGGATTACAGGCATGAACCACCGTGCCCGGCCGCACACCTGGCTAATTTTTTTTTTTTTATCATTTGTAGAGACACGGTCTCACTATGTTGCCCAGCCTAGTCTTGAACTCCTGGGCTCGACAGATCCTCCCACCTTGGCCTCCCCAAGTTCTGGGATTACAGGCATGAGCCACTGTGACTGGCCCGATTTTCAACAAAAGCATCAGCAGGATAATTCAATGGGGAAAGGATAGTTTTTTCAACAAATAGTGCTGGAACAAATGGAGATCTACAT
This sequence comes from Homo sapiens, assembly GCF_000001405.40. NCBI lineage: Eukaryota > Metazoa > Chordata > Mammalia > Primates > Hominidae > Homo > Homo sapiens. Next base: position 77,447,568 of record NC_000014.9, read on the forward strand.
GGGGAAAACAATTAAACTCAAACCCTTACATCACACCATATGCAAAAATGAACTCAATGAATCACAGATCTAACATAAAAGATTGTTCTCACTCTCTTTTTTTGGGCAGGGGGGCGGAGTTTCACTCTTGTTGCCCAGGCTGGAGTGCAGTGGCACGATCTCAGCTCACTACAACCTCCACTTCCCAGATTCAAGTGATTCTCCTGCCTCAGCCTCCCGAGTAGCTGGGATTACAGGTGCACGCCACCACGCCCGCCTAATTTTTTGTATTTTTAGTAGAGATGGGGTTTCACCATGTTGGCCAGGCTGGTCTAGAACTCCTGACCTCAGGTGATCTGCCTGCCTTGGCCTCCCAAAGTGCTGGGATTACAGGCGTGAGCCACCATGCCCGGCTTCTCTTTTTTTTTTTTGAGACGGAGTCTCACTCACCAGGCTGAAATGCAGTGGTGCAATCTCAGCTCACTGCAACCTCCACCTCCTGGGTTCAAGTGATTCTCCTGCCTCAGCCTCCCGAGTAGCTGGGACTACAGGTGCCTGCCACCACACCCGGCTAATTTTTTATATTTTTAGTACAGATGGGGTTTCACCATGTTGGCCAGGATGGTCTTGATCTCTTGACCTCGTGATCCACCCTCCTCGGCCTCCCAAAGTGCTGGGATTACAGGCGTGAGCCACCACCCCTGGCCCTGGCCTCTCACTCTTAAATGTACTTTTCCCTCTCATCCATCACTCTTTCCCCACTACCCCATCAAAGCAACAGTAATGGAGAATCAGAAATTTTGCCACTGACTTTCAACCTTAGTGGATTTATTTTCCCCCTGAAATTCATTGAACAAATGAGAACTGAAGAGAGGTCAAGAAATCTTCCCTGTGTGAACAAGCTGCCCAGCTTCCCAAAGAACCTCACAAAAATTCTCTGTCCTTACCTTGCCCTTCCGGAGACGTCGCACTGTATCACTGGGGCTCCAGTCATTGCTGTAATCCTGGAATATTAGCAATACGTGAATCCCAGGAAGTTAAGGAATCAAATTTATCAGCATACCCGCTCCTCAACTCAAACTCAGTCTTAGTGTCTAAGGGGGAAATAATTTGTGGGAGGGAATGGATGTGAAAAAAATGAAGAAATGGGACGGTTTTGTTTTGAGTTTCTGAAGGAACTAGAGCAGGGGCAATATAGATAGGAGGAGATGGATCAAAGAGGGAGGAGCCAATTGACAAAGCCAGTAGCCCCATGCCTACCAGTTCAGGACTGCAACCTCTAGATGAATTAGAATCACGTTTTAGGATTCTAACAATTAATGCCTTTGGCCAACAGAAGGAAAGAGAGAGATGTTGGAGACATGTTCCTTTTCCGACCTTAGGATATGGTTTCTTCCTTATGAATCAATTTGCTTTATTTGTTTCATGGGAATATGAGCTCTACCAGGCTTCCAGACTGCAGTGATGATCACTGGGTTTCAAAGTACAGCCTTCAAGTGGGAGCATAATGAGTAAGCAAAGTATGGCAGAGCTGAGTCAGAATATAGAGATTATAAGTCTAAGTTGCACCCTTTCCCAGCTCTGAGACCCCAGGTAAGCCCTCATGTTTAGAAACCCAGTTTTCTAATCTATAAAACAGGGTTAAAAAAATATCTACTCAAATAGTTGGGAAAATCAAGCCAGGTAACATATGTCAAGGTACTTTATACTGTGGAAAGTGTCACACCAGTGTATGCTGTAACTCACCCTATACTCCCCTTTGGGTCTCCCCAGCTCTGGAGCATAGCTTTTGGCAGGTGTGTCTGACAGAGCTGAAAAAGAATAAGCAGCTGGTTCAGAAGGGCACCATGAATCCTGCTTGTCATTCCTTCCCTCTACTTCTTCGTTCTCACATTTTTTTGACTTGTGGGCTCCCAATGTTAACTTTATGGCCAAAAGCAGATCTCCGTTCTTCCCCAAAGACAGCATCCCTAGAAGTCACCTTTGCCCCTGTAGCTAGAATGATTTCTACCTCCTTAGTCAGTATCAGAAAATTCCTCTAATAATGACAGTAGATGCAGAAGAAAGTTCATCTTGTCATCTAATTACTACCTGTCCCCATAACTCCCCAGACTGTACCAGATCAGTAACATTTCCCACAGCAATTAAAAGAGGGTTCAATGCCTACCATCAGAAAGGGACTGGAAACTTCCAGGTCTAGTTCTACCTAAAGGTAAAGAACACAAGAGGGAAAAGGTCAACAGTTTCAATCAGAGCCATCCAGGCTTGGTTAAAGACACAATGTGTAACCAACTCAATAACGCAATATAGGAACTTAAGGCTTAAAAAAGGTTTTATTCATCTGTAGAAATCTGAAGTGCCATTAAAAAATGGAGCAGGGAGAAAATTTTTTTTAATTATGGTAAAATATACATAACAAAATTTACCATTTTAACCATTTTTAAGTGTATAAGTCAGTAGCATTAAGTACATTCACACTGTTGTACAACCATCACCACTATCCATCTCCAGAACTTTTTCATCATCCCAAACTGAGACTCTCTACCCTTTAACCAACTCTACACCCTTTAAACAATAACTCTCCATTCCCTCCACCCCAGCTCTTGGTAACCACCATTCTACTTCCTGTCTCTATGAATCTGACTATTCTAGGTCATACGTAAATGGAGTCATACAATATTTGTCCCTTTGTGCCTCATTTTATTTAGTATCACATCCTCAAGGATCATCCATATGGCAGCATGTATGGGAATGTCGTTCTTCTTTAATGCTGAGTAACATTCCGCTGCATGTATATGGCACATTTTGTTTATCCATTCATCCATCAATGGACATTTGGGTTGTTTCCATCTTTTGGCTATTGTGAATAATGCTACTATCAACATGGAGGTACAAATATATGTTCAAGTACCTGCTTTCCATTCTTTTTGAGATATACCCAGAAGTAAAATTGCTAGATCATATGTTATTTATTTATTTATTGAGATGGAGTTTTGCTCTGTCACCCAGGCTAGACTGCAGTAGTGCAATCTCGGTTCACTACAACCTTTGCCTCCCAGGTTCTAGCAATCTGCCTCCCTCAGCCTCCTGAGCAGCTGGGATTACAGAAGCCCCCACCATGCCCGGCTAATTTTTGTATTTTTAGTAGAGACGGGGTTTCACCATATTGGTAGGCTGGTCTAGAACTCTTGACCTCAGGTGATCCACCTGCCTCAGCCTCCCAAAAGTGCTGGGATTACAGGCGTGAGCCACCACGCCTAGCCAGTTATATGTTTACTGTTTAATTTTTTTTAAAAAACCACCATACTGTCTTCCACGGTGGCTGCACCATTTGGCATTCCCACCAACAAGGTTTTCCAACAGCAATGCACAAGGAGTAGGGAGGAATTTTGATCTAGGCAAATTTTTTCAGTACCAGTCACAGGGTTAATGTCAATTTCATTCATCATGCTATAGAAAACCAGTCCAACTCCTCTGAATTTCTCTCATTTATCTCGCTCCTAACACCCAGCTGCCACCTCCAATGAGAATGCTTTACCCTTCAATAATCTTTTTCTTACAAAGTAAATGAAAATTATGGCCTAAGATTTTTCTGGAAAAAGAGAAGGACTTCCCTATCCATTTAAGCATCTCTCTTTACCTCTAAAAAAGCTGCTCAGGGAGTAGGTAGAAGTAGGCTTGGGTAGTTGTGCATAGGAGGAGAAGCTGTTTCGGCTCTTTAGCTGTTCACGCCCCTCGTGGGTTGAGCCGCTATTACCAGCAGTCTCTCTGATGGACCATGAGATACCTGTGAGATAGTAAGAACTACATCAGCAATTCTCATCCACAATAAAGCCTTGACATCCAACATTCAATAAACTCTAAAAGCTTTTCACCAGAAGCCCTGGTCCCTTGGCCAACTTGGGGCAGGGAGAAAAGATAGAATCAAATAGACTAATCAGCAGAAAAATGGACCAAGGACATGAATAGGTGGATCACAGAAAATTCAAATGGCTCTTCAACATATGAAAAGATGCTCAACCTTACTCTTTTTTCTCTTTTTTTCTTTTTTTTTAGAGACAGGGTCTCACTACATTGCCGGAGCTCTGGAGTACAGTGGCTATTCACAATCATATCTAACAGTCATGTCTCACGTCAGCCTCAACTCCTGGCCTCAAGCCATCCATCGCCACTACCCTCCAGAGGCACACACCACCTGCCCCCAGCTTTGCTAAGAGTACTACAAATTAAAAATATAATGAGAAACCATTAGTCCCCTATAAGATGGGGAAAGATCCAAAAGCTTGATAATACCGTGTTAGCCAGGCTATAGGGAAACTGGAACCCTCCTCCATTGCTGGTGGTAGTATGAATTGGTACAACCCCTGTGGAGGTCAATTTGGCAATATCTACCCAATACAGATGCAAACATCCTATGTGAGTAATTCCACTCTAAGAATTGCTCTTTCATTTATGCATCTATGGTCAGAATATAAAGTCAATGATAGAAATATAAAGAGCAAAAGATTGAAAAATCTAAAATTCAACAGTGGGCTGGCTAAAAAATGATGGTAAACCCATACAATTTAATACTATGCTGCTATTTAAAAAAAAGAAAGAGAAAATGAGAACACTCTTTATATACTGACATGGAAAGATCTCCAAGCTATATTAACACATAAAAAGAGCAAGGTATGAAGCATGCTACTGCTTGTGTAAAAATGGGATAAGAATACATGTTTCTATATACTTTTCCAGATGCAAAAAGAGTCTTTAGATGAATACACAGGAACCAAGCAACGATTGTTTTTTGGGAGGACATGAACTGAAAACTGAGAAGATACATAACAATATGGAACGGAAACTTTTCACTGTAGACCTTTAATTTTTTTTTTTTAATCTTTAGTCACATTATAGTATGGCCTATTTTTTAAAAACTTTCAATTAAAAATATTTCTTAAAAATCAGATGGGGACCAGGGATGGTGGCTCATACCTATAATCCCAGCATTTGGGAGGCCAAGGCAGGCGGATCACTTGAGGTCAGCAGTTCAAGACCAGCCTGGCCAACATGGTAAAACTCCATCTCTACTAAAAATACAAAAATTAGCCAGGCATGGTGGTTGGCACCTTTAATCCCAGCTACTAGGGAGGCTGAAGCATGAGAATCGCTTGAACCTGGGAGGCGGAGGTTGCAGTGAGTCAGGATCGCGCCATTGCACTCCAGACTAGGCAACAGAGTAAGACTCCATCTCAAAAAAAAAAAAAAAAAAAAATCAAATGGACTCTGAAAAAGTATTAAGTGGTATCATATACAGCTAAGCAGTGAGACTTGGTGGGTAAGGAAGTCCGTTCTGTCAATCAGTTATTAGTATACTGAGTCAAGTCAGTAGTTCCCAAATATGGCTATATATCAGAATCACCTGCAGTGTTTATTAAAATTTGAGACCCCCTCTACTCCGCAGAAGACCTAATGAACAGAATCTCTGGGATAAAGCCTAGGAGTATGTCATTTTAACAAGCACCCCAAATGAGAATGAAATAGCCAGCTAAGAGTCAACCCCTGAAGAGCAGACCTATATAGCCATGTGGGAACTCCTGCTGGATTTCCCAAGTATCTTCTCCTGGAGTTAAGTTTCCAGATGTATGCTTATCTGAAAATAGTCTTATCCTAGTCCCTCTCCTAACTAGCATTGAAGAAACAAACAAGTAGAGCCTTTATCAGTGATAAGAATCCTCAACATCTATCCCTGCCTAGGGACTCTTCTACTTACTTCCCACAGGTTCCCCACTCCAGCTGACTCGCTCCAGGTCATCATCGTCATCATCATCCACGAAGTCTCGGAGGCTGTTCACCGCCCGCTTGGACTCCTTTAACTGCAGAGGGACACAAGGCTAGGGTGCTCAGGCAAATCATCATTTCCCACCTCTCTTCTGACAATCAAGAAGGCTGAGGAATTGGGGCCTGAAGGTGGCCAACACTCGCCCTGTGCAATCGAAAGCCTAGCATACTACATATTTGCCAAGAAAACAAACTGATTTTTAGCCAACACTACAGTCCAGTGATAAAAGAGTTAGGAGGAATCAAAGTCACTTTTGAATTCTCATCATATTCCTGGCAGTGACTTGCTATGTAAACCTGAGTGAATTTATTCACCTCTCTAAAAATAAATGATTCCTCAATTGCAAAATAGACACAACAAAGATAAATCTTCCAATCCAGTTCATCTTTCAAAAATAAAAAAATATATATCACATAAATAAAAGACTTGGGGTTCTTCAAAAGAAAAAAAAACCTGTAGGAATAAATCATCTTAAAAAGGTAAAGTAAGAAAGGCAGTGAGCTGGATTTTACAATCCTTCTGGCTCTTTTCTGAGCCTAATGAAGACATACATGGTCAAAAGCCTAGTTACCCAGAATGCAAGAGGAAGGAATTTTATAGTGGCACTGTGGAGAAGAGTACAAACTTCAGCAGTTGACCTACCTGTGAAAGCTCATCGTCTTCATCGTCAAAGGTAAAAGCCTTGAACTTGGAGCTGTTCCAATACTCCTCCTCATCACCCTTTGTCCGATTCATCTACAGTGACAGGAAAACATACATTGCCCCTTTCTGGGTCTCTCCCTAAAGAGTTCCAAAAGCTTTAGTTTCCTGCACCACTAACTGATCCCAAAAATCAAGGATGCAGAAAAGAATCTGGTAAAACAAATATTGAACCTGCCATATAAAACCAGATTCTTGGGTCTCCAACTGATCAAATCATACTTCTAATCTTCTAATTACCCATAAGTAGTCATCCATTCTTAAGAGCATCCACTTTGTCCAGGGCACTCTCTCAGGTGTTGTAAGGTATATAAAAAAGTGCCAGAGGCTGGGTGCAGTGGCTCAGGCCTTTAATCCCAGCACTTTGGGAGGCCGAGGCAGGCAGAACACCTGAGGTCAGGAGTTCGAGACCAGCCTGACCAACATGGAGAAACCCCGTCTCTACTAAAAATACAAAATTAGCCGGGCATGGTGGCGCATGCCTGTAATCCCAGCTACTCAGGAGGCTGAGGCAGGAGAATCGCTTGAACCCAGGAGGCAGAGGTTGCGGTGAGCAGAGATCGCACCATTGCACTCCAGCCTGGGCAACAAGAGCGAAACTCCGTCTCCAAAAAAAAAAAAAAAAAGTGTCAGACGTGGGGACCCTACAACAGAGCTAGGGCATTCAGCATAGGTATGTATTAAAAGCAACAGTGCAAGGCAGGCAAATGTTATAAGAATCTATCAAAAAACTTTGCTGAATACACAAGGAAGAGCAATCAGAACATGCACAAAACAGACAAAAATTGCATTCACATTTTCAACAAATACTTATTGAGCACCATCTCTGAGGCACTGTTCTAGGCTCTGGGAATACTACAGTGAATGAACAAATATTCCACCCTCATGTATGCTTTTTAAATGCCTGAAAGAACGGAAAGCAAAGCAATTAAAAGAAGCAGAATTATCTCACCTAAATCTTCAAATTATGACTATTTTATTAACAACTGTTGGCCAAAATTTGAGAAATGAGGGGATGGCCAAGAAAAGCAAGTATATAAAGAAGTAGTCAAAAGACCACAAGTCCCTGTTATAACTACTATAAAATTCAATTTTGCCCTGCAAAAACAAGTTTTGCCCTAGAATTACAAACTAGGCAGGGCACAGTGGCTCATATCTGTAATCTCAGCACTTTGGGAGACTGAGGTGGGAGGATCACCTGAGCCCAAGTTCAAGACTAGCCTGGGCAACATTGTAAAACTGTCTCTACAAAAAAATTTAAAAAACAAAACAAAAAACTAGCTGGACATGGTGACGTAGTCCCAGCTGCTTGGGAGGCTAAGGTGGGAGGATCACCTGAGCTTGGGACGTCGAGGCTGCTATGAGCTGAGATTACACCACTGCACTCCAGCCTGGGTGACACAGTGAGACCCTCCCTATCTCCAAATAAGGAAACAGAATTACAAAGTAAACTATCAATGCCAACAGGATTAGAATGAAAACTATGATTTAAGCCAAGGACTGGGTATAAAACTCCCACAGCACCAAAAATAACTGTAAAGGCTAAACAGCATCAAGTTCTAAAAGAACCATTTGCTTTTCCTTTTAATAGCACCTTCATCAATAAAAGCTTGAGAAAAGCCTTGTCATGGTAGTCCTGTTGAGGCTTTTGATAGCCCTTAAAGATACTCTACTGTTACTTCCTGACTTTGTTTTCAACTCAGGGGATATAGGGATAGCAAGGGTATTGTGGGGATTTTCTACTATCTGGTCCCTTCTCACGGCAGACATCACTAATTGATTTCTACTGGTACAGGGTTGTTTAAAAATCCTTTTCTGTATTTAATTTTAGGGAGATAAACCAAAAATGCTGGCAGACACCATGAAATCATCCCACACAGACATTGTAGTCAGGCAACCTTGAGTTCAAATCCTGGTTTCTCTTAATTCTGAGCAAAGTGGATAAATGACTTTACTTCTAAGCCTTGGAGAAAATTATATCCTATCTCACAGGGTTGCAGGGAACATCTATAAAAGTGTCTAGCAGAAAGTAAATACTAAATGTTATTTCCTTTTAATATGGAATATCATACTGACATTTTTCTGTCTTGGTTTTCCCGTCTGTTAAATGGGCATAACAGATGACCTACCTTAGAAATGGTTCTGAGGAGTAAACCAGTTAATACATGTAAAGTGCTTAGTGCCTGACCCAAAATTAACACTCAATAGTAACTTTTATTATTAATACATCATCCTGGTACCTTGGGAAAAGCTAAAAAAGAAAATATTTTTTAGCAATCCTAAAGATTAAAAAAAATACAAAAATTCTGAGTAGCCACAAATGCTGAAGATGTGTATAGAACATATAAATGTCTCTGGCACACATGTCAGTTCATAAATCACTCTGTCATTCGTTTGATCCTCAGAACAATCTTGTAAGGTAGGCCTGGGAGATTCCATTTCCATGTTACTCATGGGGAAAGTGAGGCACAAAAGAGTTCAGTATCAAAGCCACTTTGTTAAATGCTCCTATTTCAAATTACAATCCAGGCTTTCTGGCTCCTAGACCATTTCTAGTGTCTTGCATGGTCCTTCTACCTATTTTTCACTTTCCAGAAAACTAGAGATCATTCCTTCACTATAGTAATTATCTACAGATAGACATAGAATGTGTCTAACAAACACAATAATCTACCAGAGGATTTCTGGAATCTTTTTAACCATGCAATGGCAGTAGACAACTGCCATCAATTTGTATTTATAACGCCAAATGAGAAGCTAGGTTTACTTGGCAAGTATAGATAATGATCTAGTGGCTCTAGAGTTATAAAGTAATCAGGTACGATTGTCACTCTTAAGAGTGACAGGTGCTTCAACATGATTTAAAATACTTCAGAGGTTTGTCTTTATCGTCTCTTGTTTACTGACAGCCCACAAGGCAGGGTGAGAGACCTCAGGGGAGAACAGGAACTTTACAAAGGAAAACAGAAGAATCAGCAAGAAAACCACAACATGCTCCCTGCCTCAGAAAACTCCAAAAACCACCTACTGAGAAGTCAGACTTGGTTTCAATTATCTTCCGAGCCAGGAAGATACAGGTGAGGCTTGTGAACTGAGACCAGGGAACAAGAGTTAAGCTAGGATGACTCTACGGGTGAACGTCCAGGAAGCCATGGATCTACCGCAGTCGTCAGAGCCCAGCGGATCCCTGGCAGAGTTAAATGCTCGTTCTGAACCAAATGTCCGCTTCCGAACCAATCGCTGGTGCTCACTCGCAGCCCCAGTCCCAAGCGTACTCCAGCGCCCAAGGGTCGCCCTGACTGAAAGAAGAGAATCAGGCCTGTAGTCATAGGGTGTAGGGATGCCTCCTAGAAGAGGGGAAAAGATCAAGATGCGGAGAGGCTGGATCCAGCCAGATACGCGACCCAAGGGGCTTGGGACACCCTCACCTCTTCCGCACAGAGCCCTCCCTCTCAGGACAGCGCCAGCCTCCGCCGCCGCTGGACCAGCCCTTCTATTCAGGCTGTGCAGCTTAGAGAAGGGGGCGGAAGGGAATAATCGTAGGGCGGAGAGAAAACACGAATAACGAGACCGCAGGGCATGCTGGAAGTCGTAGTTTCTTCTGCCTCTGCTGTCAGGCGCTGTCCCGACGAACCACAAGGCTTCTTGACTACAGCCCCCAGAAACCCCAAGCACCGTGCTAGGTCATTTCCTCTCCTTTCCGCGAGACCTTCCGCGGTTATCCAGCGAGTCACGTAGCAAGACTACAATTCCCATGAGGCTCAGCAAGGGCGATTTAGGGTCCAGGGAAGCAATGAGACGTGTTCTTTGTTTTCCTATGGGTGAGGAATGGTTGTATGAGCAGTTGGGTTTCGGGACGCTTTTTGGGGAGAACCCGATGGAGTCTGAAGGATCTCTAAATCAGGCGGAACCCACGGTGCGGCGAGTTGGGACGGAAGTAACCGGTGGGAGTGGGGAGGAGCCGGAAGTTAAGGAGGGGAGGGGGTGGAGGGAAAAGCAAGCCAGGAGGTGCTTGCGGCCGCTTCTAGTAGTTTCCAGGCGCTGCCGGGCGGCTGGCACTAAGCGGTCCTGAGGCTGTGGCTACGGCTGCTCCGGAGCTGGTGGCGCCGCGATAGGAGAGCCGATGGCCAAGTGGGGTGAGGGAGACCCACGCTGGATCGTGGAGGAGCGGGCGGACGCCACCAACGTCAACAACTGGCACTGGTGAGGGCCAGAAAAGCAGGCCGGCCTTGGGAGACCTGCGGCCGGGCCAGGGTTTCAGGGTTCCTAGAACCTCGGCCCGGACAGAGCTGGGGCTGAGGTAGCCCTGTCCGGAGATGGGGGTGGGTCCTTCCTGTGGCAGGGGTCCGTAGCCCCAGGCCTCTCCACTCCGCGGTCACCTTCTCAGTGTTTGAGGGGAGGGAGATGGACGTGGAGGGCTGCGCCCCAGAGGAGGGTTGTCAGAGAGACTAGGAGATAACGCCCTGGCTGCTGCATCCAGCCCGAGCAGGGAGGTGCTTATTACACGTGGCCAGAGGAGTCACTGAGACTGGAACCTCCTTTGATTGTGTTGGGAGATAGCTGTGAAAGGCCTAAGGCCAGGGGTCTGTAATTCCTATTTTGCGGCCTGCGGTAAAATTAAAAGTCATTCATAGGGGACCGCTGCAGCGGTCCCGCGGGAGATTGAGAACGTGTTGTGCAGGTGCTCAGAGCTCAGATAGCTGCGGCCTCTCACCCGGAACTATCAGGTCGGGTGTGTTGGAACTCCAGGTTGCCGAGCAGCCGTGGTTTTATAACCTGACCGTTCTTAAAATAACTGCCCTCCTTCATGAAATCTTCCCAAAGTAATATTAGTTTCCTTATTTTTGAATTCCACTGAACTTTTTTCGTAATGTTTGTATTGTACCGTTACTTTGTTGCAGCCTTTTTTGCTGTTGTTTTCTCTAATAGTTGATAAGTAGGAAGGCAGATAGTGATGTTTCTTTTCCATATCTCACTTTGTATTCTCTCTTCTTAACATGCAGAGTACTTGACCTAATTTTTGTTGTTTGTTTTGAAGCCCTGGACTTAACGTTTTTGTGGCCATCTAGGGGACAGTGAATGTGTAGGAAGTTTATAATGCAAGTGCGAATCTGATAGGTCAGAACACCGTGCCAATGAGGTCAGGGTTATTGGTTTAATCCTTTCTGGGCCTTTTAGCTAAGTACTATTCTTTCATGGTCCAGTCTGTGTTCCTGATCTCAGCAATATGTGCAGTTTTCCACTTGGTCAAATGGGGGCGCCATGTTAAAGTATCAAGTATTCCCCCGCACCATCATGCCGAGAAAGGAGAGCATAATTTTCCATTGAGTTTATACCATTTTCTACAGCAGCTGTCTTTGTTGACAGTGTGCAACCCCTTGTCTTCCTAAAAAAGAATGACATGTTTGTGGACATACTGGAGTGCGACTGGGAGTTTTTGTGTTCTTTTCAAACTATTTGTCAGGCCTCCTTTAACCTCGTATTCTCTTGCATAGAGCAGCGTATCCTCCGTTTGACTGCTGGTTCATAGCTCTGTTTCTGCTTTGCAGGACGGAGAGAGATGCTTCAAATTGGTCCACGGATAAGCTGAAAACACTGTTCCTGGCAGTGCAGGTTCAAAATGAAGAAGGCAAGTGTGAGGTGACGGAAGTGAGTAAGCTTGATGGAGAGGCATCCATTAACAATCGCAAAGGGAAACTTATCTTCTTTTATGAATGGAGCGTCAAACTAAACTGGACAGGTAAGTCTAAGCTGGGCTGTCAGAGAGATTAACTGTGTTTTGTTTAACCTGTTAAGTAGCTGGAGAGAACAGTTTTGAGGAGTTACAGACCTTGAAGGGAGAAGGCAGATGTTGCTGCTTTGGAGTCCTATGTAAAGCAGTATCGAGTCCTGGAATTTCTTTGCCATTGTGGGATGCTAAATGGATTTCCTGTGTCTGGGTCTCATAAGTCCCATCCATGAAGTGGCCGGGCCACTGCATCTTTGGGCCTTGGTCTTTGTTGGGACACCTACGATGATATTTCTTCAGACTAGCTACATGTATCTTGTGAGTGATTTAAAAGGAGGAAGGAGAGGATTTTTTTGGTCTTGATCTTTGTGCACTGTCTTCAGTGTGAATCTTAACAGATTAAACCACTGCGCTAATGAAGCTTGTGTGTGACAGTAATTTGGGGCTGTTTTATCTATCTTCTAGTTTTATGTCCCTTGTGTATGACATTAGGAAAAAATTGAGGTCATGCGTATGACCGTTTTGGACAGTCCTGACTGTCGGGAGCCTGAATGTAAAAAGGCACTAAAGCTAAGGGAGTATGAGATAGCTACTGTCTGTGTATGGGGCAAAGCATGAAATTTGTGCTTTGATAAACATTTCCGAAGTGAACAGTCATATCATAAAGAAGGGTGCAAGTAGATCTATCTGTCCATGATTTTTGTTAATTTGTTTTTAAAGTACACTCGAAGCATAGTAGTGTGGAAGGAATCTTCGGTGTCATCTTGCTCAGACCTCCTTTTTTTTTTTTTAGACAGAGTTTTGCTCGTCACCCAGGCTGGAGTGCAGTGGCACGATCTTGGCTCACTGCAACCTCCACTTCCCGGGTTTAACCAGTTCTCCTGCCTCAGCCTCCCAAGTAGGATTACAGGTGCCCGCCACCACGCCCGGCTAATTTTGTATTTTTATTAGAGATGGGTTTCACCATGTTGGCCAGGCTGGTCTCGAACTGTGTCTGGCCGACGCTTTTTTTTTTTAATATAGGGACTAAAAATTGGTAGCATAGTTTTGTGCACATTAAATGGTAAGAAATAGATAAATATAGGCCGGGCGTGGTGGCTAACGCCTGTAATCCCAGCACTTTGGGAGGCCAAGGTGGGCGGATCACGAGGTCAGGAGATCAAGACCATCCTGGCTGACACAGTGAAACCCCGTCTCTACTAAAAATACAAAAAATTAGCCCGGCGTGGTGGCATGTGCCTGTAGTCCCAGCTACTCGGGAGGCTGAGGCAGGAGAATCGCTTGAACCCAGGAGGCGGAGGTTGCAGTGAGCTGGGATCGCACCGTTGCACTCCAGCCTGGGCAACAGAGTGAGACTCCATCTCAAAAAAAATAAAAAATAGGTGAATACTACAATAAATATGGTGCTTTACCATGAAAAAGACCTGAAGTTTATTTGTGAAAGTGGGCATCAAAGCCAGGCGCGGCGGCTCACGCCTGTAATCTCAGCACTTTGGGAGACTGAGGCAGGTGGATCACGAGGTCAGGAATTGGAGACACACCTGGCCAACATGGTGAAACCCCATCTCTACTAAAAAATACAAAAATTAGCCGTGTGTAGTGGCACGCACCTGTAATCCCAGCTACTTGGGAGGCTGAAGCAGAAGAATTGCTTGAACCTGGGAGGTGGAGGTTGCAATGAGCCAAGATCATGCCACTGCAATCCAGCCTGAGCGACAGAGCAAGACTCTGTCTTGCGGGGGGAAAAGGTGGGCATCAGAAGGGTTGCAGCTTGAGGACTACTATGGAATGGTAGAAGGAGAGTCATCCACAATCAGAGGGAACATTACACTCGTTGAGGATGGGTATGGCTCACAACACACGCTGTAAACTGAGGTCATTGGCAGATAGGTGTTTGAGATGTGTGTGTTTTATGTATCCTGTGTAGCTGGGTGAGGCTTTCCGTATTCACCTAGTGTTTCTCATGGATGGAGTCACATATAAGCAAACATGAACTTCTCATTATAATCAAATTGTTCCCTAATATTTCAGTTGCACTGAAATAAATTGATATTTTCAAAACAAGTATTCTAGCAGAACTACTGGCTTTTGACCCAAGTTCTCATGGTATAACTCATGCTAGTACCAAATCTGTAGCTCTTTGTCTCACATTGTAATAACATAGTTGGTTTCCAGTAACCTGGTGAGGAAAGACATTTCTTTTGGGGGTGCGGGTGTTGATTGCATCTGGCATGTGGCATTCTCAGAATAAAGAGGATCAGTTCAGCCATCCAAAAGCAGCAGAAGTGAGGTAGCAGTTAGGACCCTGGAGCAGAGACCTTTCCTGCCAAGGAGTGGACTAATGACATTGCATTGGTTTTGACAGGTACTTCTAAGTCAGGAGTACAATACAAAGGACATGTGGAGATCCCCAATTTGTCTGATGAAAACAGCGTGGATGAAGTGGAGGTTTGTGCTTCATAACTCCTAATCCGAGTCCTCTATATCCTCTTATTCTCAGATGAGAAAAGTGACCTGTCATTCAGGATTCATAGCCCAGGCTTGGTCCAAGCATTCAGAACCCTAGCCTGCAGATAATTTTCTAGGCATATGGTGCCATTGGAAACTTCTAGAGCAATTTGCACTTCTTTAATTTCTTCACTTTAGCTAGTGACATGGGTTCTAACTAACATTAGCCACTTGACAGAGAGGACTCAAGAAGGAACACTAATGGGGATTGTACGAATACCGCAGTACTCATGCATTTCCTTTGGAAATGTCAGCAGTCACCTGATTGCTCAGCCCCCACATTCCATAATGAGGGTGCCCCTCAAGTTATTTACCACCTACTTCTCATCTTTCACCCAGATTAGTGTGAGCCTTGCCAAAGATGAGCCTGACACAAATCTCGTGGCCTTAATGAAGGAAGAAGGGGTGAAACTTCTAAGAGAAGCAATGGGAATTTACATCAGCACCCTCAAAACAGGTATCCCTTGAGTAGTTCTGTATGCCTTAAGGAGGTAGTTTCCACCTGTTAGACTCTGGTTAAGGGCCTGGACAGTCCTTTCTTTGGCAAATGGGTAAAGATTTGGGGGGAGGGGGCTTATTTCATCTTAAAGTCAGTCCATAAGCTCGGAGTAAGGGAAAGATCTGGAGCTGTGTTGCCTAATAATGATGGTTGAGCATTTTAGATGTGGCTAGACCAAACTGAAATGTACTGTGATGGCCTGGCGCGGTGGCTCACACTTGTAATCCCAGCACTGTTGGATGCTGAGGTGGGCTGATTGCCTGAGCTCAGGAATTTGAGACCAGCCTGGGCAACATGGCGAAACCCTGTCTCTACAAAAAATACAAAAATTAGCTGGATGCGGTGGCCCATGCCTGTAATCCCAGCTACTCGGGAGGCTGAGGTGGGAGAGTGGCTTGAGCCCAGGAGGCAGGGAGGTTGCATTGAGCTGAGATCATGCCACTGCACTCCAGCCTGGATGACCAAAAAACACAAGAGATGTGCTGTGAGTATAAATTACACTACGGGCTGGGCACAGTGGCTCACACCTATAATCCCAGCCCTTTGGGAAGCCGAGGTGGGCGGATCACCTGAGGTCGGGAGTTCGAGACCAGCCTGACCAATAGAGAAACCCCATCTCTACTAAAAATACAAAATTAGCCGGGCATGGTGGTGCATGCTTGTAATCCCAGCTACTCAAGAGGCTGAGGCAGGAGAATTGCTTGAACCCAGGAGGTAAAGGTTGCGGTGAGCCAAGAACGCGCCATTGCACTCCAGCCTGGGTGACAGAGGGAGACTCCATCTCAAAAAAAAAAAAAACAAAAAAAAAACTGTATTTGAGGCTCACATTATATTTCTAATGGACAGCGCTAATCTAAAGACTTGGCATCTCTGGACTCATTACTTGAATACAGTCTGGACTATCTTTGATATGCACTCTCCAGGGATATTTAGATGCTTAGAATAGAAGTCAGCTCAGCTTTCCCCTGGGATTCCATTTCTGCCAGTGTATTCTGATCTTGGTGTTGGAATATGTATAATAACCATCAAAGAAGGTGATGGAAGGTGATAGACACCTTTTTGGGGAGGACCAGTACACCAGTGCCATAACTAGTTGTGGCTTTTCTGCAGAGGTAAGGCAGAGTGGAGGAAAGGCACTAACCATGCATCCATAGGTGCTGGGTAGATTACCCACTCTTGAAGTCATCAAAGTGCCACGGCGTTCACGCCATCCTTCCATAGTAGACCTCACATGCACTTAATATGTTATAATGTTTCCAGTTGAGTCAGGATAAGCTTTTAAAAATAATCCCAGTGGCCAGGTGCAGTGGCTCACACCTGTAATCCCAGCACTTTTGGAGGCCGAGGCTAGTAGATCACAAGGTCAGGAGATCAAGACCATCCTGGCCAACATGGTGAAACCCCGTCTCTACTAAAAATACAAAAATTAGCTGGGCATGGTGGTGCACGCCTATAATCCGAGCTACTCAGGAGGCTGAGGCAGGAGAATAGCTTGAACCAGGGAGTCAGAGGTTGCAGTGAGTTGGAGTGCAGGCTGCACTCCAGCCTGGTGACAGAGCAAGACTCCATCTCAAAAAAAAAATAATAATAATCCCAGTGAACATACTGTATTCTATAGCATATACCCAGGTACCAGTCTGGCATAGGCCAAAAGTAAAGATGTAAAAATAGCCTCTTCCTTTTCTGGTCATAACCTCATTCTGTGGTAGGATGGCTGTGTTTGTCAAGCTGTAATGAAACTCCAGATCTCAGCTACTAAGAAGTAACTTCCATGAGCTGGAATTTTATCTTTTCAGAGTTCACCCAGGGCATGATCTTACCTACAATGAATGGAGAGTCAGTAGACCCAGTGGGGCAGCCAGCACTGAAAACTGAGGAGCGCAAGGTAAATGGTTTTCCTGGGGTGGGAGACTGTCTGCAAAGGAACTTGAGAGACCGCCTTCTTAATTCCACATATCAGCTCTCTGTGTCCCTAACCTCTAAGCCAGACCAGCCTGCGATCTGCTCATGGTGCTTTTTCAGAGCGCCTGCAATATGCATTCATTCACCCATCTTTAACCTGGTTTTAATTCATTTATCGCAGACCTTTAGAGCAAGTAGGAGCTATCAGACAGTTAAAAGTCTGACTCTTGATTGCATTTAGCACCAGTTAGGAGGTTATGAACAAAGGATGGACTTCACCTATATAAGTCTTCAGTCTAATTGGTGTGTTGATATTTCATACTTTGATATTAGAGGTCCCATCAAGAAATGGAGTTACATCCCTGTCTTCACCCAATCTCCCCAATTTTCAGGGTGAGCAAGTACTTTATCTAGAGATGGAAGTTTGTGGTTCAAGCTCAGCACTTGGTTTAGAGCCCTGTTGCTCTTTTGTCAGCATAGTGAAGTGGATACTCTGGAAGTGGGGAGAAAACCGCTTCCAGCTATTTAAACATAGAAATTGTTTGAGAATTACACTGAGCTCTTCAAAAATATCTCAATGATTTGATTTGTTATTTGACTATCAGGGTCTTCCTTGTAGAGTGGTTATTTTTACTGGGAATTGAGGAGGTTTCCAGAATCATTACCCTCATGACTGAAACACCTACACACTCAAATTCCCTTCAAACCCCTTGGAATAATTACCCTTGGAGGTGAACATTTTTATGAGAATGAATGGTACAACTGTCTCTGAAGCCACGTTGATTGAGGTTGTATCATTACTCTGTATTGATCATTTTCACTGCCACCTTCACAGGCTAAGCCTGCTCCTTCAAAAACCCAGGCCAGACCTGTTGGAGTCAAAATCCCCACTTGTAAGATCACTCTTAAGGAAACCTTCCTGACGTCACCAGAGGAGCTCTATAGAGTGTTTACCACCCAAGAGGTAAGTAAGTCTTGTCCTTCAGGCCTCATGCCATCTGCCCTTCTAGGTGACTTGAGTTGGGGGCATATCCCTTCAGCAGTGTACAGAAGAGGTACTCACAAACTCACAACTGGAGCCATGAGGCCTTCATCAAAGTGAATTTTTCCCTCCCTCTATTCTCTTTTTTTTTTTTTGAGACGGAGTCTCGCTCTGTCACCTGCCCAGGCTGGAGTGCAGTGGCACAATCTCAGCTCACTGCAACCTCTGCCTCCCAGGTTCCAGCAATTCTCCTGCCTCAGCGTCCTGAACAGCTGGTACTATAGGCACACGCCATCACGCCTAGCTAATTTTTATGTTTTTTAGTAGAGATGGGGTTTCACCATATTTTTTAGTAGAGATGGGCTGGTCTGAAACTCCTGACCTCAAGTGATCTGCCTGCCTCAGCCTCCCAAAGTGCTGGGATTACAGGTGCAAACCACTGTGCTCGGCCATATTTATTTATTTTAAAAACAAAAGACCTGGTCTTGCTATGTTGCCCAGACTAACGTTGAACTTCTGGGCTCAAGCGATCCTCCTTCCTCAGCCTCCTGAGTAGCTGGGACTACAGGTGCACACTACCGTGCCTGTTCCAGTTTTGGGTCATATAAGTAGAAACCACTGAGTGAATCTTACTAGAAAAGTGAATGGCCATTCTTGGTTACTCTGTAGCACAGAAGAATTCCTGGCTTCTTTGTGTTGCACAGCTGACTTGTGCCATTCTGCTGCTATAGTGTGGAGTTGAGAAACATGACCGTATTCAGCTTTATTATCTGATAGTAAAGGTGGTTAGGATATGTGGAAGTTCCCATATACTCTGGGACAAAATTTCAAGATCTTATTTTTTAAACAAAAATGTAAATACAGCCATAAATTAAGAGGTACCATGTAGTATATGGGTGTTAGTATGTCTGTGCGCCTGCACCCAAAATACTCTCGTGATAAGTTCTCTCCCCCTTAGAAAACCAAGAACTGGAGAAGCAATTAAATGGACTGGGTTTTCTAGAAATTTAAAAAGATGTGTATAAACAAAATTGTACTGTACTTCAGAAAGTTATCTTAGTTGACTCCAGAGATGTGTTATGACCTGGCTATGCCAAAGACTGCATTCGATGGCTAACTTGGTTCTACTTGGTGCCTGCTGCCTTGAAGGACTTAGCAGCATAGCTGTGGTCTTCATGTGAATTGAATTTAGCACTTCAACACAGACTTCAGTTGAATCTCTGCTTCCAAACTAGCTAAAGTTTTCAGAGTTTTAAAATACTTTTGTATGGGAGGATTCCTAACATTTTTAACCTTCTGTTTATTTTTAATTTTGTACCATGTATTCGTATTACCTACTTTAAAAAATAGTAAAGTCTTATTAAAAGTAAAAGCGGCACCGTTGGGTAATCGAACACAGCAAAATGATACTGATTTCATATATATGGAGTAGGCCAGGCACAGTGGCTTACATCTCTAATCCCAGCACTTTGAGGGGCTGAGGCGGGTGAATTACTTGAGCCCAGGAGTTTGAGACCAGCCTGGCCAACATGGTGAAGCCCTGTCTCTACAAAAAATACAAAAATTAGCCAGGTATGGTGGTATGCGCCTGTAGTCCCAGCTCCTCAGGAGGCTGAGGTGGGAGGATCACCTAAGCTTAGGAGGTCGGGGCTGCAGTGAGCCATGATCATGCCACTGCACTTCGGCCTGGGCAACAGAGCGAGACCTATCTCAAAAAAAATAAAAGGGCTGGGCGCGGTGGCTCACGCCTGTAATCCCAGCACTTTGGGAGGCCAAGGTGGGTGGATCACGAGGTCAGGAGTTCAAGACCAGCCTGGCCAAGATGGTGAAACCCCATCTCTACTAAAAAATACAAAAAGTTAGCCAGGCATGGTGGCATGCGCCTGTAATCCCAGCTACTACAGAGGCTGAAGCAGAGAATTGCTTAAAACCTGGACGGGCGGAGGTTGCGTGAGCCGAGATCGCGCCACTGCACTCCAGCCTGGGCAACAAAGTGAGACTCCGTCTCAATAAATAAAAAAATAAAATAAAATAAAAGATGGAATAGATCTATTTTGGGACATGTTCTCAGAAATGATAATAGAAGTCTCAAACATTTACTTGAGAATTTTCTTTCATAAGCTCATTCTTATATCTTTCTGAACCATATACAATTTCAAATAAATAAAAGTAAACGGGTCCAAAGTAATGGCATCATCAGATCAGAAAGAATTCCCGAAGTCAAGTCCTGGCTGGTATTAAAACAGAATAGAGGGACACCCTGGACCCGCCTGTGGGGCAGACTGGTGGAAATGAGAGTTGAGGCATGCAGCCTTCAGCTGGCATTTGTCCTTGGGTCCCACTGAAAGCCATGTATCTTCTGCCTCTTTTTTTTTTTTTTTTTTTTTTTCCCTGCAGCTGGTGCAGGCCTTTACCCATGCTCCTGCAACATTAGAAGCAGACAGAGGTGGAAAGTTCCACATGGTAGATGGCAACGTCTCTGGGGAATTTACTGATCTGGTGAGTACCTGCCGGCCCTAGACTCAGGTTATTGCCTCTGGTCAGATGAGTGACATTTCTCTTTTTCTGAACTCTATAGGTAAAATGTAAGGCTTTAATCTCTTTGTTAATAAAACATTTTGTTTTTCAAAAAAAGGCTGTGATTTGAACTGTCTTGCAAGTAATATAATTGCACAGATGGTAGACTCCGTATGAAGGGCAGATGACTGATCCTAGCTAGGATTGGGTACATTGTAGTATATAATATAGACTGAGCTGTTTGATTATTTTAGGTCCCTGAGAAACATATTGTGATGAAGTGGAGGTTTAAATCTTGGCCAGAGGGTAAGTAAACATATTTATTGCCATTACCCCCAGAACTTTTTCTCTTTGCTGTAATTTTTTTTTTTTTTTTTTTGGAAACAGGGTCTCACTGTCACTCAGGCTAGAGTGCAGTGGCATAATCACAGCAAACTGCAGCCTTAACCTCCCAGACCCAAACGATCCTCCTGCTTCAGCTTCCCAAGTAGCTGAGACTACGTGTGCCACCATGCCAGCTTTTTTTTTTTTTTTTTTTTTTTTACTTTTTTACTTTTTTTGTAGAGATGGGGTCCTACTACATTGTCCAGGCTAGTCTCGAACTCCTGGGCTCAAGTGATCCTCCTGCCTCAGCCTCCCAAAGTGCTGGGATTACAGGTGCATGCCACCACGCCCACGTAATTTTAGTAGAGATGGAGTTTCACCATGTTAGCCAGGCTGGTCTGGAACTCCTGACCTCTGGTGATCCGCCCACCTCAGCCTGCCAAAGTGCTGGGATTACAGGTGTGAGCCACCACGCCCAGCCAGGTTGCCCCAGTCTTAAACTCAGATGGAAACCTAGATATGAAACCTCCGTCCCCTCTGCCTTTCCCAGGACACTTTGCCACCATCACCTTGACCTTCATCGACAAGAACGGAGAGACTGAGCTGTGCATGGAAGGTCGAGGCATCCCTGCTCCTGAGGAAGAGCGGACGCGACAGGGCTGGCAGCGGTACTACTTTGAGGGCATTAAACAGACCTTTGGCTATGGCGCACGCTTATTTTAGGGCCAGCGGCAGGGGACTCCAGCCTGCTGGACACTTCAGTCCAGCTCTCTCCTGACTGGGGCTTGCGACTCACAGGATTGCATCGTCCCAGCTGCTAACTTGGGGCCGGGGCCCCTCCCTTCCACATATACCTTGGGTTTGTGCATGTTTTCTGCTGGGTGGGTTCAGAGGGCAATTTCTCTTTTATGTGTACATATGCTAAATAAACATAATTTAAAAAACATGCGTGTCTGGAACCTATGTTGATTGAGTGGCTGGTATTGAGAGCTCCCTTGAAGGTTTTGAATTCAAAAAAGAAGGACAGGGTGGACAGCCTTGTCTCTATTCTGGGTAAGTGTAGGTAATTAAGAGGCACAGAGCCTGCTTCTCACTACCAGGCATTCCTGAGCTAGTCTTTCTTACTAGTAAATAGTTTCTGCCTTTTTACCCATAACAGTAGGGGAGGGTTGGTACTTGGGTAGGGAGTGCTAACACTATGCCTCTACTGCCAGTGCAGTTGACTTCTCACTTTGCACTGCCCATGGCCTCTTACCCTCTTGCAAAGATAAGTGATCACCAGATGCTGGTTTGGGATATGGGAAGGTGGGAGATTCCTAACTTGTGGCAGCTTCTGTTACATTGCAGTTACTGAGTACTAGACACTACACTGTTTACTTGCATTAACTCATTTGATCTCTATAATACGCAGTAGGTACTGTTGTCATTTGTTTTACAAGAACTTAATTAAGCCTTGGCTTTTAAATACATGTATTTTACATATAGCCAGGCGCAGTGGCTCAGGTCTATAATCCCAGCACTTTGGGAGGCTGAGGCAGGTAGATCACTTGAGGCCAGGAGTTCAAGACCAGCCTGGCCAACATGGCGAAACCCCATCTCTACTAAAAATACAAAAATTAACTGATGAGGTGGCACACGCCTGTAATCCCAGCCACTCAGGAGGCTGAGGCACGAGAATTGCTTGAGCCCAGAAGGTGTGAGCCAAGATTGCACCACTGTACTCAAGCCTGGGTGACAGAATAAGACTGTCTTGAAAAACAAGTATTTTACATAACATATTTGCTACAGGTGAGCCTTGGATTTCTTAACACCCAGATCCAACAAGCAGAGTTGAGATTTGCAACAAGGACTGTAACTGCAGAGCCCATACTCAGCAAATTGTTGTCTTTATTTAACAATATGTGGTACCATTAAGTTTGCTGGGCACTGACCATGAGCCAAGTGTTGGGGATATAGTGGGTTCAGACTGCCACATTGCAGGAAGAGGTAACAGTACCTGAACAGGGAGAGTCACTCCTGGACAAGCCTCGCCCTGACTTCCTGCACCCCAGCGGGAGTCAGTGCTCTCTAAGCCAGACGCTACCTCCTGCAGCTACAGCTATTTCCTTCGTCTGTTTATTGCCTGTTTTATTGGGTGGCAGCAAGACTTTGCAGGCTAAAACTGGTTAAAGCAGAGTTCAAGATCTGGTTCATTTACACTTCCCAAAGCCATCTTTGGCTTGAATTACAAGAGTGCTGGGCTGAACTAATCCACATCTAGTTTGACATTACATCTGCCTCCTAGGGGTGCAAAATGACGCCTTTTGATGAAGAACCTGGAGTCTAGCTTGAATCAAATCAACAGGCCCTTCCTAACAGACTCCTAACAGAGACGATTAAAAATGAGACTTTGGGCCGGGCGCGGTGGCTCACGCCTGTAATCCCAGCACTTTGGGAGGCCGAGGTGGGCGGATCACGAGGGCAGGAGATCGAGACCATCCTGGCTAACACGGTGAAACCCCGTCTCTACTAAAAATACAAAAAATCAGCTGGGCGTGGTAGTGGGCACCTGTAGTCCCAGCTACTCGGGAGGCTGAGGCAGGAGAATGGCGTGAACCTGGGAGGCGGAGCTTGCAGTGAGCCGAGATCATGCCACTGCACTCCAGCCTGGACGACAGAGCGAGACTCCGGCTCAAAAACAATTTAAAAAAAAATTAATTAAAAAAAAATGAGACTTTGGCTGGGAGCGGTGGCTCACGCTTGTAATCCCAGCACTTTGGGAGGCCGAGGCAGGCGGATCACAAGGTCAGGAGTTCGAGACCAGCCTGGCCAACATCGCAAAACCCTGTCTCTACTAAAAATACAAAAATTAGCCGGGTGTAGTGGCGGGCACTTGTAATCCTAGCTACTAGGGAGGCTGAGGCAGGAGAATCGCTTGAACCTGGGAGGCAGAGGTTGCAATGAACCGAGACCAAGCCACTGCACTCCAGCCTGGGCGACGGAGACTCTGTCTCAAAACAAACAAACAAACAAACAAACAAATGAGCCCTTTCGGCCAGGCGCAGTGGCTCACGCCTGTAATCCCAGCATTTTGGGAGGCCAAGGCGGGCAGATACCTGAGGTCAGGGATTCGAGACCAGCCTGGCCAACACGGTGAAACCCCATCTCTACTAAAAATACAAAAATTAGCTGGGCATAATGGCAGGTGCCTGTAATCCCAGCTACTCAGGAGACTGAGTGGGAGAATTGCTTGAACCTGGGACACAGAGGTTACAGTGAGCCAAGATCACGCCATTGATTGCATTCCAGCCTGGGTGACTGAGCAAGTCTCAAAAAACAAAAAAAAAGAAAAGAAAAAGAAAAAGAAAAAGAAAAAATGAGCCTTTTCACACACACCTGGCTGGAAAGTTACCAGTTCCAGAATACTTAGAATCAATCAAGTAGAGATGACCAATATGTTCATTAAACCCAAGGCACCAGGCTAAGTGCCTGCCATGTGACATGTGCAGTTGCCATTACGTGCCAGTATTGATGGCTATTCAATTCTTACCATTGCCATTTTACTGATAACATTTTGGTAAGCCATCTGGACCTAAAAAGCAAATGGCATAGCTAGAAATAAAACTGTGGACTTCGACTTTGTGTTTGAATAGTAAAAGTTCCACTTCCTAACAAATTGGGTGAATATCCTTATCTGTAGAATGTGCATAATAGGTGTCTTGTGAGAGCGTTCGAGATGATACATGTAGAAACGCTGGCACCTGGTGTCATTTAGCAAATAGTCGCTGCTGAATCCATTCAAAAGCCCAAGTGTTTGCCCTTAAGCCAGAATGCTATTTTGAAAAGCTGGCTAATTTTAATCCAAATTGCGTATCTTGGGCTAAGAGCTCTCCATGCCTGAGAGGAAGAACAATGCACAAAAGTGGACTCCACTCCTAAAGATTCTTACTCAGTGGGTGTGGGGTGTGGCCCATAAACAGAGTTTAATAAATACCCCAGGTGATTCTAATATCAGGGATGCACTTTGAGAAGCATCTCAACATATTAACAAAACAAAACCTCATTGTAAAGGAGCCACAGCAGCACATTTGGGTCCCTTTTGTGACTAATGGGGCAAAGGATCTAATCATTCTTTCTCTTTAAAGACCTCTTGACAGAGGTCAGCAGACTCTATACTGCTGGTTACCTAAAACTCTAGGAAGCATTCAATCTGACCAGTCTTGCCTAGCCTAGGGCCATTTGTGAGGCTAACCAGAGGGGGTAAAATTGGGCAAAACCATCTTGGTTGCTGGGGTAGCTGTTAAGGTAGAAACAGTCAGTGGTGTTCATGCTGGATTCATGGCCATGGATGAACTCCTGGTGTTGGGGACAGGAAGAACAGCTAGTCAAGCCAG
This sequence comes from Homo sapiens, assembly GCF_000001405.40. NCBI lineage: Eukaryota > Metazoa > Chordata > Mammalia > Primates > Hominidae > Homo > Homo sapiens. Next base: position 77,472,900 of record NC_000014.9, read on the forward strand.
TGATGTGACTGACACTGGAACAGAAAGGAGTGGAGGGACCCTCTGGTTTCATGGGCTTCCTCTGGGCTCTGATACCAGCTGCTCTGGAAACCCTCCCTTCATCAGGCTCACTGCTCCCGCCGTTGGCGCTGCTCCTCACACACAGGTGCTCCTAAAGCCTGCAGCCACCTGCGCAGTGTCTTTCTCCTTTGCATTGCTCGAATAAATGTAATTTCATAGCCGACCCACTCCCCAGCCCCTTTTGTTTAGTTTCTCTCATCTGTGGCCTGACACGGTAGCAATTTAGCATGCCACTTTAAATGTACAGATTTAAAATGGGGTTGGCTAAATTCAGTATGGGTAATAGAAAACCATTAAATATAGATTAAGACAGTACGTTTAAGTGCCAAAGTGAGTTATATTAGAAAGGAGGGGAATTAGCAGTTTCCTTAGAAAGCAGACTCTGGGATTACTCTGTCTTGTTACTTTTAAAAGTTTCTGCTGAAAAATAATTAGCCTCGAACTGGGCGCAGTGGCTCATGCCTGTAATCCCAGCACTTTAGGAGGCCAAGGTGGGTGGGCTGCTTGAGCTCAGGTGTTTGAGACCAGCCTGGGCAACAGGGCGAAACCCCACCTCCACCAAAAATACAAAAAAAATTAGCGGGGGTGTGGTGGCGTGGGCCTGTGGTCCCAGCTACTTGGGAGGCTGAGGTGGGAGGATCACTTGAGACCGGGAGGCAGAGATTACAGTGAGCCGATATCGCGCCACTGCACTCCAGCCTGGGTGACAGAGGGAGACCCTGTCTCAAAAAAAATAATAATTAGCCTGTGCTAATCTTACTGAATTCCTCAGACAAGAGAAAGGGAGTGAGCATGGCTCCTGTCTGGCGGCCTGAGACACTGCCCTCTCTAACCCTCTCATATTTCTAGTTGCAGGTAGAGTATTTTTAGACTATGGTTCAGGACAGACTAATAAACTTACCTCCGGCAGTGATGGTCATTGGAAATGTCTGACTCTCCGAGTGTCTCCAGTGGTGGCTCTGGACACACCTTCCTTTACTGCGCTTCCTGATATATCCCTGTCCTTCCCCACGTCAGGAGTGACAGTGGAGTGTCTAGTTGGGGTGCCCACTGAGGCAGAGCACGGATCCACCTCTCATCTTAGAGCTGTAGTTCTTTGGGCAACTCTTTGTTGGATCCCCTGACAGCAAATTACTTCCTGGTGGAGTAAAAGTGATTTACCTCTCTGACAAAGCTCAGAGTGAATGTGCCCCTGAGGTCCAGCCAGCTCCTCGTCCATCTCCTAGGCAGTGTGAATAAGGATAACTGATATTTAGAGTCTAACTCCTGCATGCCACAAGCTCTGCCTGCCCGGCTGGTCCAGGAAATGAAAAGGAGCCTGCTGTGGGTTAAGTAAGTTACAAGCACACCCATGGGAGTTTGACTTGGACCATAAGCAAGGGTTCCTTACACTCCTCCGCTCTGCCGGGGCCCGAAAGTCTTCATCAGGCAGAATTTGAAAATAAAGTGCTTTATTGCTGAGGAGCCCAGAGAGCTTCAGGGCGGCCATCTGGGGGCTAGGACTGAAGTCCCCTAACTTTTGGTGGCTCTTGTGAACAGAGACAGTTGAGACTTCAATATTTCAACCCCATAGAAGGCAAGGAAGTGCAGCCAGGGGAATGGGGAGGCAGGGAAGAGGCATGAGGTGTGCCGGGAGAGCGATTATGTGCATCTCTTCCCAACTCTGAGTTCAGTGCATTCAGTGATGCTGGCAGCATGACATGGGACACTGCTGGGAGAATTTACACCACAGAAGCTGCCCAAATGCAATAAATCAGGGCTTTTTTCCCCTCCCAGAGAACTGGTTTACTATAGACGTGTGACACACCGTCCCGAGCTAGTGCTGAACCCACCCAAGCCTGGCTACTGTGACAAGCTGTCACCTCCCCACTCGGGGGGAGTGCCAACTCCCAGCCCTGCACATCCCTACAATCAGCAGAACAGAGGGGGCTGAGCAAAGGAAAGGGACCAGAATTGGGCAACCCATTCCCTGCCTGGAGTCCACTTCGCCTCAGCTGGGCTGGCTTGCAGCCCAAGACTAAAGTTGGTGTCCAACAGAAAGGCAGCTTGGGGCTACAGATAGCCTCCTGTGCAGTGGCTCGTGGCAGGGAGTGGGGAAAGAAGGGCATGTGCACCACCCAGAGATAAGGAGGGGTGGCCACCCAGGCTGGATGCCCCCCCCGGCAAAGGATGGCTGTGCCCATGAGAAGAGTGGCCCTTCCTCTGCTGGCCATCAGGGTGGAGTAGGAGTGACTCGTGGCAGATCCCGGGAATCGGGATTTTTCTGGAGCTGCTGGCTAACACTTATGTGCAGAGCCAGGGCAGAAGAGCCCAGCTCCCAAGGAGGAGAAAAATGAGTGGCCAGGGTCCCAGCAGGCAGCAGAGGGAGGCCCCGGCAGACACATGCACATATGCACATTTCCAGGGCTCCCAGGGACACCCACCCTGGGCCCTACATACCCTTCAACCTTCTCACTAACCCCACTGAGATATCTGCTTCGGGGTCGCTGGCAGAGGGCACACAGCCTCGGACCAACCTCACTGGGGGAGCCCTTTCCTCACCCTGTCTGGGCAGGGGCGGGTGAGGAAAGTTCTCCCGTGCAACAGCAGCAGCCGCCTGCCCTCTCCCTGCAGTGTCTGTTCAGCAACCCCGTCACTAGTACTCCTTGGCCTCCTGCAACTGTGCTAGGTACTCCTCCTCCAGGGGGTTGTCGGTGCAGGCTCGGCCGTTGTTGGGAGGGAGCACAGCGTGGAGGCGGCTCCAGTCCCCCTTGCACAGGATCCAGGGCGTCGTGTCGAACTTGAAGTGCAGCTTAGGTGAGAAGTCGGTGCTGATGAGGTTGGGCATGCCGGCGCCCTTGCCACGGGTCAGCAGCCGGCTGTCCTCGTCATAGCAGCAGTGCTGGGCGGCCAGTGTGCTGCTCTCCCCAGACAGCATGGAACGCAGGCAGAAGCGCGCCGTGGGCTGGTAGATGTCCAGGCGCTCGCGAGGGCCACTGGCATCCCTCCACCGGAAGCTGCGGCCCTGGTGCTCGTCCTGTAGGCTCACAGGGCTGTCCATGGCCTCCAGTGGGTAGGCACACGGGCAGCTGGGCAGGTCCCGCAGCATCTGGCTCAGATACTTGATTAGGAAGTCGCTCTTGCAGTTCAGCCACTTCTCACAGCTGTCCACATCTGCAAAGGGCCACAAAGTGCAGGAGGGAAGCCAGTGACAGAGCCAGGCCCGTGTGGGGCGGGGACTGATTAAGGGCCAGTGCATGGGGAGAGAAGGCCCAGGCCCCAGCTGGTGCAAAGGCGTGGCTTGGTAGGGCCTTGGGGATGGAGAGAGGCTACCCCACACCATCCAGACAACCTGAAGCAAGAAGCTCTTGCTCAGAACAGACACAGGCCAAGGGGCTGGAGCAATGACCCAGATGTCCTCTGCGGTGCCATATGTCACATGCTGAATGGTGGGAAAGGTTTAGGTGTCATGTGCTGAATGGTGGGAAAGATCCTGAGATCTTGGAAAAGGATCTGGGGTGAGTGGAGACAGGTACAGCAGCTTTTCACCAACTGGTAAGAAGGTTTCATTATTTTAGCCACTGGACCATTCTTGTTCTGAACGCTGCCTTTCTCAGGCAATCTGGCCTGGGGTGAGTCATTTGGCCACTTTGGGCCTCCTGTGGCCCCCTCTGTCTATGCTGCTCTCCTCCCCATCTCCACCTCGGGAAACGTGGCCTTTTTTTAAACTATATTTTTATTTAATTTTAAAATAAATTATATCCCTCAAAACAAAAACCTGAGGCTAAAGTACATCTGACTGAGGTTCTCTTAAATAGAAGAGCTGGGGGGCCAGGCGCGATGGCTCACGCCTGTAATCTCAGCACTTCTAGAGGCCAAGGCAGGAGGTAGGAGCTCAAGACCAGCCTGGCCAACATGGCAAAGTCCCGTCTCTACAAAAAATACAGAAATTAGCCGGGCTTGGTGGCGCATGCCTGTAATCCCAGCTACTCGGGAGGCTGAGACATGAGAATCACTTGAACCCAGGAGGTGGAGGTTGCAGTGAGCTGAGATCACACCACTGCACTCCAGCCTGGGTGACAGAGCAAGACTCTGTCTCACCATTTCACCCGGTCCCCATGGCACAGTGCAGCAGAGGCCAGGAGCCTTCATAAACCAGAAAGAGGTGCCCCCCAGACTCACCAGAGCCCTGCAGCGAGCAGGGAAGGGGAAAACACTGCAGTCACCAGGGAACAGCAGAAAGAAGAAAAATGGCCTTGGGCGGCTGGCCACGTGGGAATGTGCAGAACCTTGCTCCTCACTCCCCAGAATCTGCCTGAGTGGATGCTGTTAACCGGGTCTTGTTTCTCATTTTCCCTTCTGTGCCCTCATCCTAATGGGATGAGCTGTCCAGCCCCGGACACTGGGGGACTGACTTTGATAGTTTGAGGCTCTGCACATCTCCAAGGGACTGGAACCTTCCCCAGGATCCAGATGCTGGGATTTGGGTTTTGACTGGGAGTGAAGGAGGAGCCTGGGAAATGGTAACACAGGAGAGGGGAAGAGACACACATTTCCCAGGCCCACCCCTGTACCAGAAAACAAACTGCTCCTTCCTCTCTGCTCCCAAATCTTTAGGGCCTTCTTTGCAGTGCAGTGCTCACATGGGTTATGCGTGTCTTTCCCCCATGGGACCTGAGCTCCTTGAGGACATGGACCAAGCCTCAGGCTGCTGACATCCCCTGTGCCAGCACCATGGCCAGGCACATGATGCAGGCTCAGTAGGCTCTTGCTGTGCTGAGTGCAACCCTTATCTGCAAGGTTGGTCTCCCTGCCTTCCTTGCAGGGTGCAAGTAAGACCAACAGACACAGACTCAGAGTGTGCAGGTGGACGCCTGCCCCATGCCCAGCTGCCTGGAGGAGCAATGCTGGAGTTCTGCACACTGACCCATTTCTGACTGCACTGCATCCCCCTCTCCAGACAGAGCCTGCCCAGGAGCCTCCCAAGAGTAACCAAGGAATGGAAGTCAGAACGTCCCCACCCTATCCTGCTGCCAGGGAGGATAGGATATGCCCCCACCAGATGATCTCTAAGCTCTGCCGCTCCCATTAAGACCTTCCCAGTAGGAATACCAGTCTGAGAAAGGCCAATGAGCTGGCTCAGAAATGCCAGGGCCCCCTGTTGGAGAAGCAAACCTTCCAGATGGAAGCTGTGCTCTCTGCCTAGTGGAAAGAAGCCAGGTTCCTGCCATGGAATAATACCCCACCCTCCCCTGAGAGCTCGTTCCCCAAACCACCAGGGGCAAGCCTAGCCCCTCACTCACCTTGATCATGCATGTCCGTAGCATTGCGGGCCAGGAGCTTCCACTCCTCACTGGGGAGGCCCAAGGTGTCCTTGTCCTCAGTGCCTTTGGGAGGAAAGGAGGCCAGGCTGGTGGCTCCGCAGGCCACCTCAGTGCCGCTGATGGGGAAACCCCCCCACCTCAATAGGCTCTCAGTGCCCACAGCAGCCAAAATAGGCCTGGGACAAGGCAGGACCACCATGTTTTTGAGCTTCCTGCATCCCATCTCCCAAGCCCACCCACATTCCCAGGGGACCAAGCCTCCAGCCTAAGCCGCACCAGCCACTCCTATGCAGGGGTAGGGGCTCATCTCACCAGGACAGGAGGGCAGGTCACAGGTACGGGTCTCGGTGGCAGTGCAGCCATAGCCACAGGGCCGAGTCCTCTGCTGCTTGCCAGTGCTGCAGTTCCCACTGCAGGGAGACCAGGGACTCCACTCCTTCTGAGGCTCATAGTCTGGGTTAAGACAGGGAGTTGGGGGTGAGTGCATATAGCTCACAGGGCAAATTGGTACAAATCAGCACAGGGCACCCTTTCCTCAGGTGGATGCAGCCCATGCCAGGGCTTCCAGCCTCATGAATGAAGCTGGGCTGGATTTCAGCTTCCACCTGCTCCCTCAACTGGATTCCCTTCTGCAGTGAATAACCTGTGCAAATATATCAGGTGGCTCTGAAAAGACAGTATAACGCCTAGCCACTTGCTCTGTGTCAACACAGTATAAAGAGGAAATGATACCTAGGGCTGGGAGCTATCTGACCACTATTGGTATGACCTTGGGCAAGTCCCCCTACATCTCTGAGCTATAGGTTTTTTAATTTCTTTTCTGTGTCAGGGTCTTACCCTGTTGCCCAGGCTGGAGTGCAATGGTGTGATCATAGCTCACTGCAGCCTTGACTTCCTGGGCTCAAGCAATCCCCCCACCTCAGCCTCCCTAGTAACTGGGACTACAGGTACGTGCCACTAGGCCTGGCTAATTTTTTCTTTTTTTGAGAATCTGTCACCCAGGCTAGAGTGCAGTGGCGTGATTTCGGCTCACTGTACCTTCGCCTCCCGGGTTCAAGTGATTCTCCTGCCTCAGCCTCCCATGCAGCTGGAATTACAAGCATGCGCCACCATGCCTGGCTAATTTTTTTTTTTTTTTTCAGATGGAGTCTTGCTCTGTCGCCCAGGCTGGAGTGCAGTGGCGTGATCTCGGCTCACTGCAACCTCTGCCTCCCGGGTTCAAGCAATACTCCTGCCTCAGCCTCCTGGGTAGCTGGGATTACAGGTGCCCGCCACCACACCCAGCTAATTTTTGTATTTTTAGTAGAGACAGTGTTTCACCAAGTTGGTCAGGCTGGTCTCGAACCCCTGACCTCATGATCCATCTACCTTGGCCTCCCAAGGTGCTGGGATTACAGGCGTGAGCCACTGCATGGCTAATTTTTGTATTTTTAGTAGAGACGGCGTTTCACCATGTTGGCCAGGCTGGTCTCGAACTCCTGACCTCAAGTGATCCGCCTGCCTTGGCCTCCCAAAGTACTGGGATTACAGGCATGAGCCACTGCACCCGGCTAAGCCTGGCTAATTTTTAAATTTTTTGTAGAGACGGGGTTTCACCATGTTGCCCAGGCTGGTCTTGAACTCCTGGGCTCAAGCGATCCTCCAGCCTCAGCCTCCCAAAATGCTGGGATTACAGGTGTGAGCCACCCACCTGGCCTGAGCTATAGTTTCTATGTCAATCAAAACCAAGGGTGACAATATTTCCCTTGCACTGGAGATATTTAATAATTTCCCAGGCTGGGCATGGTGGCTCATGCCTATAATCCCAGCACTTCGGGAGGCTGAGGCAGACAGATTGCTTAAACTCAGGAGTTCGAGACCAGCCTGGGAAATATGGCAAAACCCCATCTCTACAAAAAATGTTTAAAAAGCTACTGTGGAGGCTGAGGCAGGAGGATCATCTGAGCCAGGGAGGTTGAGGCAGCAGTGAGCTGTGATCATGCTACTGCACTCCAGCCACAGCCACTGTGTCTCACTCCAGACACAGTGAGACACTGTCTCAAAAAAAAAAAAAAAAGAATTTCCCTGCTACCCATATTAGGGACCCACTTCTGATCTGAGGGAGCTGAAATACACTGTGGCTGGGCCCAAATCCTCAGGGTGTGCAGGGCCTGAGACCCAGTGCTTTCTGTGAAACCCCCAAAATACTGAGAGCTGGTTCCACACTTCACAGGCAGGCCAGCACTGGCGCCAAGAGTTTAAGGAAAATTAATGGGAGAAAAGCTGAAAAACACGGAAATTTTTTCCTTTTTTTTTTTTTTTTTTTTTTTTTTAGAGACAGGGTCTCGCTCTGTCACCCAGGCTGGAGTGCAGTGATGTAATCATGGCTCACTGCAGCCTTGACCTCCCAGGCTCAAGTGATCCTTCCACTTCAGCCTCCCGAGTAGCTGGGACTACAGGCAGGCGCCGCTGTGCCCAACTAATTTTTGTGTTTTTTGTAGAGACAGGGTTTCAACATGTTGCCCAGACTGATCACAAACTCCTGAGCTCAAGCAGTCCACCTGCCTTGGCCTCCCAAAGTGCTGGGATTACAAGGCATGAGCCACCATGCCCGGCTGTCATGAAAATTTTCTGTGAGTTTACATTATTTTAGTGAATTGGGAAGAGCCTGTCACAAGTTAGTCTTAACAATAGGCACCTCTGTCCATTGACAAGACACCAGGGCTCCAAGGGGAATGGCTGCAACTATGCATAAAACATGTCTGCACCCAGAGGAAACCTGAACCACAATACGCAAAAATAAAAATCATCATCATGGCCGGGCACGGTGGCTCATGCCTGTAATTCCAGCACTTTGGGAGGCCAAGGCAGGCAGATCACTTGAGGTCAGGAGTTCAAGATCAGCCTGGCCAAGCTGGTGAAACCCCATCTCTACTAAAACTACAAAAATTAGCCAGGCGTGGTGGTCCACACCTGTAATCTCAGCTACTTGGGAGGCTGAGGCATGAGAATCGTCCGAACCTGGGAGGTGGAGGTTGCAGTGAGCCGAGATTGTGCCACTGCACTCCAGCCTGGGCAACAGAGTGAGACTCCACCTCAAAAAAATTAAAAAAAAAAAATCTGTCATCATGAGAGGCTGGTAGGCTTAAGGTAATATTTTCTGAACAGTTTGTGCTGCTGTTGTGTCTTTTTCTAACAAAAATAATAAAAATAGCCAATACTTTCTTTACTCCATGCTGGCACTGTATATGTCTTAACTCACTTAATACTCTCTACAGCCAACTCCATGTAGTAAAGATTATACCATTCCCCATTCTATAGAGGAAGGAACTGAGGCACAGAGAGTTGAAGAATCTTGCCCAAGGTCATTCAGCTGGTAAGCAACACAGTCAGGAGTCAAAGTCACACACACAATCTGAAAATAAGGTCAGTCATGAGTGATGGAATTTATAATTTCTCAATCCTTGGAAACTCACAGATGTAAATAAATATAATAGTAACAAATGTCTTTTGCTTAGGGGATATCAGAGATTTTTGTGAGGGTCAAATGTTGTTCAGAAAAAAAGAAAAAAAAAAGGCTGGGCACAGTGGCTCATGCCTGTAATCCCAGCACTTTGGGAGGCCGAGGTGGGAGGACTGCTTGAGCCCAGGAGTTTGAGACCAGCCTCTGCAACATAGGGAGACCTCATCACTACTAAAAATAAAAAAATTAGCCTGCCCTGGTGGTATGCACCTGTGGTTCCAGCTATTCGGAGGCTAAGGTGGGAGGGCTAAGGTGGGAGGATCGCTTGAGCCCAGGAGTTTGAGGCTGCAGTGAACCATGATCATGCCACTGCACTCCAGCCTGGGTAACAGAGCGAGACCCAATCTCAAATTAAAAAATTAAAAAAAAAAAAAAGGAAAAACTCTGCAAGCTATTGTCAATGTTACTTTTGAGTTGATGATGGTGTTTGAACAAGGCCTAAGCTCCTGGCTTCCTCAATGGTCTTGCCTGGGAAGCCTCCACCCTCTCCCTCACCCCCATTTCCACTCAGTACCTACAGGGGAGCAGCCTGGGGATGCCAAGATGGGGGTGCTCACCGTAGCTGACAGAATCCTTGAAGACCCAATCCCCGGGGGCCAGCCAGCCCTGGTCCCAGTTGTCTGTAGTTCCATTGAACCAGAGCGCCTGCTCTTCCTCATCTTCCTCTTTGTCCTCTTGATCCTCACCCTCGATATCCTCTGAAGGATAGTCCTCGTCTTCCTCCTTTTCCTCCCCCTTCTCCCCTGGGGCCCTGTCTTTTTCCTCTCCTTTGTAGTCTCCCCAGAGGAAGGACCAGAGGGCGGGCAGCCAGCTAAGGGTATCCTGGGGCGGGGGATTGCTGGGCTCAGCCAACAGGTCTATCGACACCTCGGCCTGGGGGTCCTCCACCACCTTGATGGTCACCTGCAGGAGACAGGCCAGGCCGGCCAGTGAAGGAGGTCTTAGAGCTGCATTCCAAAGAGACGAGGGATGATGGGGTCAGGGTCAGAGGTGAGAGGCCCAACCTTTCCTTCAAACCAGCTGTCTTCTCTTGGCTGACATTTTTGGCTAACCTTCCTGGCCTCTTAGGGCACAAGAATCACAGCTTACGGCCTGGAGGTGCATTAGAATCACCTGGGGACTCCTAATTCGCAGATGCCAGGTATGGACTGAACTGGTCTGGGCTGGGGCCAGGTATGGCGGTTCTAACACATGCCAGGGTTGACACTCACTAGCTTAAGAGAAGCTGGCTTTGAATCTCGGCTCTGCCAGCATGCATCTGCTGGACCTGGGCAGCTCTGAGCCTCCAATTCCTCATGGTAGGGCTGGAAGCTGAGTGCTCCCGACACAGCAGCCCTTGGAGGAACTCTCTTGCACCACATTATGGATGGAAAATAAGTAAAAGAAAATCATTTATGTGAAACTGAACTTCGGAAACATTAGGCTATTCAATAAAGTAACATGAGGTTCACTGAACAAAATTTGGAAAAAAACAGCAAACTATGAAGAAGAAAATGAAAATCGCCTATATTCTGGCTGGGCTCAGTGGCTCACGCCTGTAATCCCAGCACTTTGGGAGGCCGAGGTGGGCAGATCACGAGGTCAAGAGTTCGAGACCAGCCTGGCCAACATGGTGAAACCCCGTCTCTACTAAAAATACAAAAATTAGCCGGGCATGTTGGTGCACCCAGCTACTTGGGAGCCTGAGGCAGGAAAATTTATTGAACCCAGGAGGCAAAGGTTGCAGGGAGCTGAGATCATGCCATTGCATTCCAGCCTGTGCAACAGAGCGAGACTCCATCTCAAAAAAAAAAAAAAAGAAAGAAAAAAGAATATCACCTATATTCTATCACTGACATTTCTGCCTTCCAGTTTTTTGCGTGTGCGTGTGCGTGTGTGCGTGTGTGTGTGTGTGTCTGTGTGTGTGTGTGTAGGTAAGTAGAGAAAAGAAGAGAGACACTTTTAAATAATTTTAGAATTGTGTTTTATACTTTTATGGTCTTTTTTCCCCTTCTGGGGAAAGTGTTTTGTAAACTATAGCTGCTACACAAACATGCAGAATTATTATCATGAAGGACTCACGCCAGGCAGTGGAGCCTGAAACTAGAATTCTGCCAGCTGCTCTAATTTCCTCTCCTATAAAGCCCTTCAGGTGGCTGTCCCCCATGCCACCAGCCTACTCCATTCCATACTGAACCCCTTCTTTAGGGGATCAGACCTGCAGGTCTTTTCCAGGAGGCCTCCTTAGATTCCTGGAATCCCTTGTAGCCTACAAAGCATTTCCCACTCACTGGTGCTCACATAGCCCTGCTGGGTTGGTGCTGTTTGTCTCTTGCCATGGTCTAGAGAACAAAGGCTCAAAGAGTCAAAAGACTTGCCCAAGGCCCACAGCTAGAAAGTAGAGGGGCAGGTCCTCTGCCCCCTACACCACAGGGAGAGCATGGGGAGCCTGCCCTCTGACCCCACACAGCAGCCCCACCCTCCACGGAATCCAGGATATAGGGTATCCTGAGCCCACCTTGTCAGCCCCGCTCCTCTCCGGGTGTCTGCAGGGCTGCTGGCCCTTCTGTAGCTCTCACCTGGTTATCAGGGTTAGGGGTACTCAAGGTTGCGTGGACCAATTCTGGCAGCTTCTGCAGCTCCAGCAGCAAGGGAGTAACCTCCTGGGTCCTGGGAGGCGTGGCATTCCCTGGGGTCAGGGCTGCTGGCTCAGTGACAGTCCAACATCCATGTTGGTGTAGCTCTGCCTGCAGGTGGGTTCTGGGGAGCAGTCGTGCCTCCTCCTCTTCCCTCAGAGGCCTAGGATCTGGGGAGGCTGAAGCCTGAGGAAGAGAGAGGGAAGGTGAGGTGACAGGTTAGGGCTTACCCAACAGGGACCCAGAAAAGGCTGGCCAGGCAGAGCCAGGAGCTGCTGGCCCTTCTGTAGCTCTCACCTGGGTATCAGGGTTAGGGGTACTCAAGGTTGTGTTGGCCAATCCCGGCAGCTTCTGCAGCTCCAGCCGCAACGGAGTAACCTCTGGGGTCCTGGGAGGGGTGGCGTTGCCTGGGGTCATGGCTGCTGGCTCAGTGACAGTCCAGCATCCATGTTGGTGTGGCTCTGCCTGCAGGTGGGTTCTGGGGAGCAGTGGTGCCTCCTCCTCTTCCTTCAGAGGCCTAGGATCTGGGGAGGCTGAGACCTGAGGGAGAGAGAAGGAAGGTAAGGTAACAGGTCAGGGCTCACCCCACGGGGATCCGGAAAAGGCTGGCCAGGCAGATCCAGGAGCCCTGGGGTCTGACCGGGTCATAAACTCACCCTGTGACTTACATCTCTCTGGAGTGTGTATCTGTAGTGTAAAATCTCCACACTGCCTGCTTTAAGGCCCTCAACGGGTAAGTGAGGGTGTAGCTGGTCAGACAGTGGACTGTATCCACAAAGTGCTTTCACAGAGGATGCCAGTGTAAGGCATGAAAAGGAGGGTCATTTCACAGATGAAGAAACCACAGCCCAAGAAGGGGAGAGAGTTGTTTCAGAGAGTGGTGTCCTTTGCAGACAATGTGCCTCCCACTCCCCAAGGCCCTCACAGGCCAGAGGAGAAAGGCCCCCAGGGATGCACCTGGTCCTATCAGGGAGTGGGCAGCAGGCCTTGGCCTTTCCCCTCAGCCTGCTCCTGTCCGCTAGGCCCCACCCAGGCCATCCACATGAGGGCTGTGTTCCTCCGCCTGCCTGCCTGGGGCCTGGCTCCTTTTTCTATTCCAGGCTGCTGGCATGGCTGACTCAGCCAGTTCATCCCTGCCAACAGCCACTGGCCATGGTGTCCTCACCGGGACAGTCCTTGCTTCAGATCAGATGGTAAGTGAAAAGCAGATCCATGTCATCTCTGACTCCTGTTCAGCATTCATCTGCCCAGACAGTGGGGCACTAGGGGCTCAGTGGCTGCCACCTGCCTCCAGGCTATAGCCACTGCCCAGGTCTCTATGCCAGGGCAAAAGGAGCACCTCCCAGAGCTGCCTTATGAGTCTCCGGGACCTGCCACCTGTGGACCCTGCTTCACTCAGGCCACACCCTTGCCACCCCTCCCGTCTCATACCTGGGCAGTATGGTATGGCTGACAAACACTGGTTGTGAGAGTCAGATAAGCTTGGGTTCAAATCCCATCTCTGCCTCTTACTAACTTCTTCAACTTGACAATATCCTCGTCTGCAGAATGAAGATAATCATTCTTCCCTGCAAGGACTGTGAGAATTTTATTTATCAAACATTTCCACAGCATTTACTGCACACCAGGCACTATTCTAAACACTTCATCACTCATTTCATCCTCCCTGTCTTACATCCTCATTGTCATGCCTGTCTTACAGTGGAAACTAAGGCACAGAGAGGGCAAGTAACCTGCCTGAGGTTGCACAGACATTTAGCGATAAAGCCAGGATTTAAACCAGGCAGTCTGGGCCTAGAGCCCATTCTCTTAACCTGCAAGCTATAAAGTGATAGTATTGTATCCCCTTCAAAAATCAGGGGCTTAATCAGCCTAGTTTCTCACTCTTACTTTTTTTTCTTGAAAGTTTGGAAACAGATTCAGAATCTTCTGTCTCTCCCTCTTTGACCTCCCCTTCTGCGGTGTCCAAACACCTGGCTCCAGGGCTCCTGCACTAAACGCCTGGTCCCAGGGCAGCCGTGGGCCCATCTCGGCCCCAGCCTGGAGTCTCTTGCTGAGTCAAAGCCCTCTAGTCTAGACAGCAGGGTGGATGAGTGGAAGGTGGAAGGGTGAGTAATGGAACAACTCAGCCCCTTCACTGACCAATGAGGGAGGCCTGGAGCATCCCTAAGTGCTGGCTTCCTAGCAGCTCCCACCCACAATTCCACCAAAGCCCTAACTGTGCCTGTGACTTTGCTCAGCATCTCCACTGTCTGCAGTCTCTGGGGCATAGAGACAGGCAGTCTCGGAGCAGCAGGTGTTCAGGGCTGTGCAGCCTTTTGGCTGATTGGGATACCCTAGCCTGGTGGTGGCTGGGCCTGCCTGGGCAGGTGGTACAGTGGTTATGCAGTGGTTCTCATCTGGGGACATGTGGCACTGCCTGGAGAAATTTGTGATTGTCACAGCTAGAGGAGGTTTCTACTAGTATCTAGTAGGCACAGGCCAGGAATGCTGCCACATAGCCTGCAGTGCACAAGGCCATCCCACAAGAATCATCCAACCCACATGTGAATAGTGCTGTAGTTAAGAAAGCATGCTCTAGGCCAGGCACGGTGGCTCACGCCTGTAATCCTAGCACTTTGGGAGGCTGAGGCGGGTGGATCACTTGAGGTCGGGAGTTTGAGACCAGCCTGGCCAACATGGTGAAATCCTGTCCCTACTAAAAATACAAAAAAAATTAGCTGGGCATGGTGGCAGGTGCCTGTAGTCCCAGCTACTCGGGAGGCTGAGGCAGGAGAATCGCTTGAACTGAGGCAGCAGAAGTTGCAGTGAGCCAAGATCGCATCATTGCACTCCAGCCTGGGCAACAGAGTGAGAATCCATCTTAAATAAATAAATAAATAAATAAATAAATAAATAAATAATAAAAAGAAAAGAAAAGCAAGCATGCTGTAGATTGGGCTGCCTGGTCTGAGTTCTGCTGGCAGCCTGGCTTCTAACCTGTGGGGCCCTAGCAGGAGAGAAGCCTCTGTGAGCTTCTTCATCTGCAAAATGGGAATGACAACAGGACTAAGCCTAGCCCAGGCCCTGCTACCCAGTAGGTGCTCAAAATGTTCCTTTCCAGACCTCTCTACCCACTCCTCTCCCTGGTGCCCAGTCAGACCATAGGGTGGGCAAAGGCCAGAGAGGTTCTGGCCAAGTGTCACAGCCACACGTGCCGCCTTTCCTCTCTGGAGCTGCTCTTGGGAGTCTCCCTCTCTGTACGTCAGCCCTTGCGGAACTCCTGGGAGTGGAAAGAGATGTGGGGAACGTCTCATCTTAGTTTGGGTTCTCTTGAAGCCTACCCCAAGACAAGGGTTCCAGTGTAGGTGGTTCCACTGGGAGGTGGCCCCAGGAGATGCCAGAAGAGGGTAGGGGAGCGAGACAGGGAAGGGGAGGCGGCAGTCAAGGATGCAGTCAAGCAGCAACCATGATGGGCACCTGCAGCCAATCCCCCTGGGCTCCTCCGATACCCCTCGAGCAGGGACAGAGCTGGGGATTTATCTGCCAACTCCACCAGTCCTGGTTAAAGGCTCTGGGGCTAGAAGGGAGGATTTGCTCTCCAGGCACTTCAAGTGAGCCACGTACATCTCCCAGAAGGGCTGAGGGGATCAGGGCCGGGCACCCAGAGGCCCAGCCCATAGCCAACCTCTGGACACATCTTACACACCAGGCCTTCCTAGGCAATTTCCATGCCATCTGTCACTTTTTCCAACTCAAAGGTAAGTTCTGTGCAGACAGGAATTGTGTCTGCTTTGTTCACTGTGGGATACTGTGCTGAGCACAGTGCCTGATACATTATAGGAGCCCGATAAATCACTGCCACGTAAACAAATGAACACCAGCAACCCTGAGGGGCGAGCGTGATCACCTTTATGTTAAAGATGAGGCTATGGAGGCTCAGGGAGGGTAGGGACTTATGTAAGGTCTTAAAGGTTACAATAAGAGAACTGGGATTCAGCTCAGCCCAGCCTGATCTCAACACCTGCGCACTGGTGCACACTATGCACGTGTGGACAGACACTGGTGACAGTAACCCCTTGTGGGCCACCACCTTCTGTCTTCACAGAGCAGTTCCACTTTCATCTCAGCTGAATGTGGTGGAAATGAGTTCAGGCTGGAGTCCACATGACCGGGGTTCAATCCCAACATGTACACCTACTAGCTGCATGACCTCCGGCAGGTTACTTAATCTGCCTTAGTTCCTTCCTCTGTAATTTAGGGAAACACCAGCGCCTGTCTCATAGGGTTGTTGAATTAGAATAGTACCTTGTAGGTGCTAAGCATGCAATGAACGTTACCCAGAGGTGGCGACAGATGGTACTCAGAAGGCAGACAGAGGAGCCATCAGGGGCACCCCCCTCGCCAGGCAACATGCCAGTTCTTCACACCTCATTCAGGTCCCCCGAACACTGCTGCAAAATCACTCGGCAGGTGTATCCTCATGGCATTCTGAGGGGAATTCTGAGACTCCAGGTTGTTGAAGAACTCCAGTCCTGTCTCACAAGACCACCTCTCTCCATCTTCTAAGCTTACATGTGGAGTTGCATGCATGTACAAACACACAAGGCCATTCTTTTGGGGGGTGGTGTCACTGCCCAAATAGAGATACATCTGAGGTATATCTTTACCAGTTCTCTCTCTCTCTCACCCCTATGCTTACCTTCCCAGGCTTGGCCGGGCAGCCCCTGACCCACGTGTTTCCAGTTAACACAACAGAGTCCCAATCCCCACAGACCCTTACTGCATTGCGTGAGCCCGCCTGCTAACCTGTTTCAGCCCCTTCACAGTTCCCTGTTCTCCCTTCTCCTTTGTGCCTCAGGGGTCAGAAACTTGTTCTGGATAATTAAATTCAGTCACCAAGTGCAGGTCCCGCAGCCCTAGCTCCTGAAGCCCAGGCCCAACCACACAGAGCCAGGCTGCACACTAAGTCATGCTGGTGGGAGGTGCTGGAGACCCAGCACACAACAGCAATTGCCTCTTTAGCCAGGCCTGAGACCCTGCATACAACACAGCAATTGCCTCTTTAGCCGGGCCTGAGACCCTGCCTACAATAGCAATTGACTCTTTAGTCAGGCCTCTTTAGCCACAGGCAGAGGAATAGGGCTGGATTTCATTCTCCCTCAACTACCTTCCTGATTGGTAAGTACTATTCTTTTTTTTTAAGACTGGGTCTTGCTATGTTGCCCAGACTGGCCTCGATATTCCTGGGCTCAAATAATCCTCCCACCTCAGCCTCCTGAGTAGCTGGGATTAGGTATGTACTATTCTAAGCCAACCCACCCTGGCACCCAGCGGAGGCTGCAAAGCTCCTCACTGTAATAAGAGTAGTGCTGACCAAGCATAGTGCTCCCCGCACAGGGCCGGCTTCATGGTGTGCAACCTGTGTCTTTGCACTGAGCCCCATATTTAGTTTAACGCTCTGCTGTTGCCCTTTGGAAATAGCTAAGAAGCCTCATATTTTCTTTTTTTATTTTAGTTTTTGAGATGGAGTCTTGCTCTGTCGCCCAGGCTGGAGTGCAGTGGCACGATCTTGGCTCACTGCAAGCTAAGCCTCCCGGGTTCACGCTATTCTCCTGCCTCAGCCTCCCAATTAGCTGGGACTACAGGCGCCCGCCACCATGCCCAGCTAATTTTTTGTATTTTTAATAGAGATGGGGTTTCACCGTGTTAGCCAGGATGGTCTCAATCTCCTGACTTCGTGATCCGCCCTCCTCGGCCTCCCAAAGTGCTGGGATTACAGGCGTGAGCCACCACGCCCGGCTAATTTTTTGTATTTTTAGTAGAGATGGGGTTTCACCATGTTAGCCAGGATGGTCTCAATCTCTTGACTTCGTGATCCGCCCGCCTCGGCCTCCCAAAGTGCTGGGATTACAGGCGTGAGCCACTGCACCCGGCCAAGAAGCCCAACATTTTCATTCTGCACTGGGCCCCACAAAAAATGTGGCCAGTTGGCTTTCCCAGGTAAAGGCAATAAAAAAAGAAAGAAAAAGAACGGAGCCAGTCTTGCCGATCACCCTATATGTACAGACTCACTGGATTCTCACAACAACACTTTAGGTAGGTGTGAGCATCATCTTCACTTCATAGACAATGCAGCCAA